>NC_000013.11:68408106-68559621 GCF_000001405.40 Homo sapiens
TCATAGACAAATAATGCAACTTAAGCTTTAAATTAACACTTGAAATATATATATATATTAGAAAAATATTTTTTCCAATTTTTCAATCAAATAACATTACATTAACTGTAATATATGAATGCTTTAGGAGGTTTTCCAGTAACTGCTGTACAAACAGGCTATATTAGAAATTATTTTCATTCCCTCTAGTGAACCTCAAAGGACTAACCCTTTTTCTGCTTTATTCTGTTTTCTCTTGATTTAAATATCACCTCTATTGAGAAGAGAGTCACTAACCACTCTTTACCATATTTTAAAAGAAAAGGCAATAATGATTTAGGGAAAGGAGCAGTAAAGGTACGTTATAAATTGAGATTGAATGTTTAATGGTTTGTAGTATAGGATATTTCAAAACAGCTAATCAGCTCTTATTAAGAGTGAGTCCATTCTATAGTAAAGGAGATTTCCAACTTGGCTTGCTTACCTATGGCATCAGAATCTTGACTGCAAATGGTTACTTGAGTTCTGTGGATTTATATTTCCTTCCTTAACAATGCTTGGAGGGATTTCTTAACTTTTTACTTTGGCACTACCTTGACAAACCAAACAAAACAAACCGAAAAAAAAACAACATAAAATATGTTGTTAACCAGAATGTTGAAATAACTTATGTAGTGATGTGTTGATGATATTTATAAACAGCAAGTAGAATAACTACATTTATAAAAACTTAAATTTTTAAAAAGCAGAGTACTCAGATTTACTTCCAACATCTCTTTTAAGGCATAGTAATTAGTTGCTGCTACAGCAATTACACACACACACACACACACACACACACAAAATATTCGTGACTAAAAACAGTGGTCGTTTATTCCTTGAGGATTGATAGCATGAATTGGGCTTGGCTCTACTGGATTTGATTGGGAACTTCTCCCAATCAAGGTCAGGTCCACATTTGGTTGGGCCTGACTGAGCTCCACATGTCTTCTCATGTTATTATCATAGCAGAGGACCAGCACTTAAGAATGGATCTAGGTGGTGGTGCTGAGTCAAACCATGCAATGACATTTTAAATTATAGTGTAGACATGTAATACATTACATCAATTTGGAGGCCATTAGCTGAAGCAAATTATGTGGCTAGCTCAGAATCAGTGGGGTGGGGAAATATAGTCTTCTTGCAGACAGGCATGGCAGTGATAGGTAGGAAATTAACACATGTGAACAGAGTGTGAACAAGTGCAAACAAGAATTAGTATAATCACATAATCTGGTGTAAGACAGGTCTTGTTTAGATCTAATACATGGTATTATATTATGCAATATTTTTCTATTTCAGATTATTCTAGTTTGTGTAAAAATTGGGTTTTGCCTACTGATTTTGTCTACTATTATTTTTTAAAACCCAACAGCAGAGCTCTTGGTGTCTCAACTGTAGGTCTGTTTTCTTTGATTGTACCTATAAAACACTTTCAATTATGTCCCTAATGTGTTTGGACGTGCACATGTGCAATGGTGCACACACAGACACAAACACATACACACAATTCTGAAGAATAAGATAGTTTAATCTTTTTAAAAATGACCTATAAAAATTTCTTTTGTCTCTGAACCAGGGAATGACTTTTCTAATTCTCTCTTAGTCCTAGTATGCTGATACTCTCTGTCCTCACTAAGTTGTACACAGCGCTGTTAAAAGTTCTATAACCTGAACGTCGTTTTTTTGAAGGATACCAAGCTGCTTTCTACTATGCATATGACAATAAGAAATTCATTCACTCTACAGGAGTTCTTGACTTTATTGTACTGCCTGTGGTGTAATATCAAATATTTTCTTTGACTTCAGGTTTTCTGATTAACCATGTAATGGTTATCTTTATTTGTACCAGAAGAGCCACCAGTTAAACCTAGATAGAATATTACAGATCCAGAGAACTAGCTTGTTAGTTAAATAAGAGCCAGGAAGATTAGTGGGCTGAAAAAAAGCATCCACAGGAGAGGTCTATGACACTTGGGTAGGATAAATTGCTAAAAGACAGAACTTTGTGCAGTCAGGTAGAATGGGGGCTTAACCTGTTACAACATGCACATTGAGGTTAATGTGACCTCATTAAGTTACACTGGATATATAGCCTAAGTATGTCACAGACTGCTGCATTTCAGTTATAGCAGATATACAAGGTAAAGGCCAGTATACTGATGTTAAAAGCCATAGAGAGTTCTCATTATTTTTGTTCAAGCAATTGCTTATAAAATGTCTAGAGAAGACATGATAAAATTATGAGGACATCGGATTTGTGGGTTTCCTAGGGGCAAGCATCAATCTCATCCTAGGTAAGATGCATTCTAAGCACACTTATTATAATTGAATTGGGTAATCTTATCTGAAACATTAGAGCTCCTTTGAGCATTGCCATTTCACACACATAACTCTTTATATTTATCCCTTTCTGAATCTTTAGCTTATTTGCTTTGCTCATCTTATAGGAGTGGTCTAGTATATCTACCTGTCTATCAATGTAGCATGCATTCTCACATATGCTTATATATACATGTAAATGTATGTATAGGATTGTCAGTTTTCATTAATGGCACACTGTATCATCATCCTGATTTGCATCTTGTTGTATATTGATACAGTCAGTAATTTACCAATTAAATAATCTTGGGATATTGAAATAATTATTGAAAGGCATAAAGTTATGAATTTCAAGGATGAACTGCATTCTATTTCATCGGATAAATAGAAACAGTATTTCTCAATACATAGGTATATGTCTATGTACCCTTGCACATTCCATAATAGCAGGCATGGGGGTTGCCTGACCATTTTCAAATTAAAGATTTTTTAAATCTTTTTTAACAGAAGGATTTATTAAACTGTTAATAGGTGAGTATGATGCACATGGAAGACTTGAGTCTTTTGGTTACTATAATTTATTCAAATACTCAGAAAGAATGCAAAGGAGAGTGCATATAATGATTCTCTTTTTTTCTTTTTGAGATGGAGTTTCACTCTGTCGCCCAGGCTGGAGGGCAGTAATGCAGTCTCACCTCACTGCAACCTCTGCCTCCTGTGTTCAAGTGATTCTCCTGCCTCAGCCTCCCGAGTAGCTGGGATTATAGGTGTGCTGGCGCACACCTGGCTGATTTTTGTGTTTTTAGTAGAGACGGGGTTTCAGCATGTTGGCCAGGCTGGTCTCTAACCCCTGACCTTAGGTGATCCACCCACCTTGGCCTCCCAAGGTGCTATGATTACAGGTGCTAGCCGTCACACCCGGCTGATTCTATCTCATTAAACCCTTGAAAAATTTACTGCTTCATGAAGGTAAAATTAACAATGTATGCCTCATATCTCAAGTGTACAATCTGATAAATGTTGACATATGTACACACTAGTGAAATCATAATCACAATCAAGAAAACATACAAAAATCCTATCACCCCTAATGGTTTTCTTGTGTTGTTTTGTAATCTCTTTCTCTCTCATCCCTCCCTATCACCTAGCCCAAGTCCACAAGCAACCATTGATCTGATTTCTGTTGCAATAGATAATTTTCATTTTCTAGAGATGTGTTTGAATAGAATCGTCTAGTTGGTGGCTTCTTTCACCCAGAATAATTACTTAGAGATTCACCTATTTGTTGCTGTGTCTATATTAATTCATTTTCCTTGCTGAGTTGTATTCCATTGAATGGTTTATAACAATTTGTTCCTCTATTCTCTTGTTGCTAGACAATTGTATTGATTCTAGCCATTGGCTATCACAAATAATGCAGCTATAAACAATAACTCACAAGTCTTTAGACAAATGCTTTCACTTCTATTGGGTAAAGACCTAGTATTATAGTGGCTAAGTCATATTGTATATATTTAACTTTTTAAGAAACGAGCTATTTTCAAAAGTAATTTTACTATTTTACATTTCCACCAGTAGTTTTGATTCACATTGATGCTGTTACTTGCTATGGTCAGTCTTTTCAAATTTAATCCTTCTACCAGGAATGTAGTGGCATTTCATTGTGTTTTTAATGTATACTTTCCAAATATATAATGATATGGAGCTTCTTGTCATATGATTATTTCATTTGTCTAGCTTCTTTCTTGAATTGTCAATTCAAATATTGTGCCTATCTAAGCAAAAGGACTGTTTCTTATTATTGAGTTTTGGAAGTTCTTTATGAGTGCAAGATCTTAATTTTTCCCCACTTTTTGGGTTGATTCTTTCCTGAACAGTTCTTTTAAAAGAGCAGGAATCCTTCATTCTGATGAAATTTGATTTATCGCTGTTTTTCTTTAATGGATTGAGCTTTTGGTGTTATAACTAAGAAATATTTGTCAAATAAGATCTTTAAGATTTTCCTATTATCTTCTAAAATTTTTAGTGTCACTATTATATATGGATGTATGATAAATATCTAGTCATTTATTATATAAAGTGAGAAGTAAGAGAAAGGTTAATAATTTTTTTTCATATGGTTCTTCGGTTGTTTTAACACCAATCGTCTTGGAATCTTTGTCAAAACCAATTGAACATATATGTGTAGGTCTACATCTGCATCTACATTTCTTTTTCATTCCTGGTATTATAAATTTCTGTCTCTTTTTTTTTCTAATCATTCTGACTGGACTTTTCTGAATTTTATCAATCTTATCAAATAACCAAAGTTTAGTATTATTGATTATTATTTTGATTTTCTGTTTTGTATTTATTTGGTTTCTGATATTTCACATCTCTTACTTAATTTTGGATTTAATTTGCTCTTTTTTGAATTTCTTAAGGTACAATATGAAGTCATTGTTTGAAGAACTTTCTTATGTCTAACATTAGTATTTAGTGCTATTAATATCCCAATAAGAACTGCTTTAGCTGCATCCCACAAATTATGTCATGTAGTACTTTATCTTCATTCAAATATTACTCAAAATAATTTCTTAACACCTTTTGACTTAATATTTGACCCATGAATTACTTGAATTTCTTTTAGTTAGTTTCTAAATAATTTAGCATGTGTACTTCTGTTACTACTTTTAATTTAATTTTGTAGTTGTCAGAGACCATCTTTATATGATTTTAATTTTTACATATTTATCAAAGCTTGTTGTATGACCCGTATTGTGATATGTTGGTAAGCATCCTGTGCATGACTGAAAAGAATATGTCTCCACTATTCTTGAGTGGGATCTTATATAAGTGATAATTTGGTCAAGTTGGTGGATAGTCATGTTTTATATTCATATGCAGTTTCTGTATAATTGTTCTATAAATTGTGAAGACAAGGTATTTACATTTATTATAATGATGTATTTATCTATTTGACTTTGCAGTTCTGTCAGTTTTTTGGCACATATGTCAGCTTGAAGAAATGACAACTGTATTCTTATAAAATTACATTTTAATTCTTTGTAATAGTGTTTGCTATTGAATCTCTTATGTCTGATGCACATATAGTAATACCAGGTTTATTTGTATTGATGTAAGCATTTTATATCTTTTTCAAGCCTTTCTTTTAAAAACATTTGTTTTGTACATTTAAAGTGGATTACTTTTAGATAACGTAGAATGGGTCTTTACTTTCTTCAATCTGAAAATCTCGGCCTTGTAATTGGGATATTTCGATCATTTATATTTAATTTGATGGTTGTTGTTATTTGGTTTTTCAAATTGTTTGCATTAAATATTTTTATTATATCTTGTGTTAATTTATCAGATAACACTTTTTTGTTTTGTTTTTCAATTTTTATGGATTTGGGAAATATAATTATACTGTAACTGGAGGTAGTTTTTTTAAATATGTGTTTTGAGTGGGGTTGAGCATATTATATCAGTTACTTTACAGTTTTCATCAAATTTGAAAGTTTTTTCGAGCTTTTTTCAAAAGTGTAATTAGAACACAGCCCAAACAATTCCACTTCTTAAATTGAATCAGATATTGAAAATATTTACCTATAGTTAACAATATTATTTTGTAGATTTAAAATTTTATTAAAGGGGCAGATTTTATGTTGTGTTCTCACCAAAATTAAATTAAATTTTAAAGTATTTATAAGTAAGTTAGGGAGCTTCATAAATATATTTTCGTGACAAAAATGCATTTTCATGAAAGTGACAAACCATATACTGTATTCGATTATTGAAAAGCCAAAAGGAAGTATATGACTTTAGAGCTGCTTTCTGATTGTTCAGAAAAGGCAAAATATAATTTTGAAGAGAAATCTAGATATGTTGTAATAATACAGCATACAAAATAATTTATTATGTAAATTTCATATCCTTTAAGACAACATACATTACTAATACCCATCATTTATTTGGAAAATATGTACCAGAACAGGCACAGGAAATTAAGCTTTACATCTGTTAACTCACTTAAGTCTTTGGTTGCCTGTCATAACCTTCACATATTTGAAGATTATAGGACAATTATTTATAAATGTCCTTCAACAAAGGTTTGCACAATGTTTCTTTAGGTCCAGATAATAACATAATTTGCAGGAATATCACAGCAGAAAGACTGCTTTATTCTTATTTCATTCTCTAAGGTGTTACATGTTTCCGATTCGTCCAAACAAGCAATATGAACAATTGCTTGTTTAAGATAATGCCTGCCAGCCTTCTTGATTATAGAGTTACTCAGTTTCCATTGTATTTTAAAACATTTTGTGGAAATGAACTTTCGAAACTTTGTAAATATACCTTTCATTATCCAATTTTCAATCTACTTATATATATTCTTCCTGACTTGTAGCTTTCTGATTGTTATATTGGCAATAGCCCTATCATTCTCTATGGCGATGCTCAGATTGTACCACGTTTGGCTTGTGAGAATATCTCCAAGCTGACCATATCTTTCTGGCATGTCCCCATCATTTTTTTTTGTTCTTTTTTGAGACGAAGTCTCACTCTATCACCCAGGCTGGAGTGTAGTGACGCAATCTGGGCTCACTGTAACCTCCGCCTCCTGAGTTCAAGCGATTCTCCTGCCTCAGCCTCCTGAGTAGCTGGGATTACAGTCATGCACCACCACTCCTGGCTAATTTTTATATTTTTAGTAGAGATGGAGTTTCACCATGTCAGCCAGGCTGGTCTCGAACTCCTGACCACAGGTGATCCTCCCACCTCGGCCTCCCAAAGTGCTGGGATTACAGACATGAGCCACTGCACCCAGCCCTCCCCATCATTCTTAAAGTAATTCTTCACTTTCTGGTATACAACCAGTATTTCAAATTAATTATGTTCTTCCGACAATGAACTCACATCAGGCATTACTCTAAAGAACCCTAGTTTGTTTTTTTAGTTTGTTTTTTAGAGGAAGTTTGTATTCAATAACTGAGTTGTAGATAGTATGTGTGATGCTACTGTTTGCAGGCCTGGGCAGAATACTGGACAGAAGATACACACAGAAGTATGCGAGTTCATACTATCATTTCTAATTTGAATACAAACTATCAGGTTGCAGTTTTTTTTTATTTTTATTTTTTTTATTATTATACTTTAAGTTTTAGGGTACATGTGCACATTGTGCAGGTTAGTTACATACGTATACATGTGCCATGCTGGTGTGCTGCACCCACTAACTCGCCATCTAGCATTAGGTATATCTCCCAGTGCTATCCCTCCCCCCTCCCCCCACCCCACAACAGTCCCCAGAGTATGATGTTCCCCTTCCTGTGTCCATGTGATCTCATTGTTCGATTCCCACCTATGAGTGAGAATATGCGGTGTTTGGTTTTTTGTTCTTGCGATAGGTTACTGAGAATGATGGTTTCCAATTTCATCCATGTCACTACAAAGGACATGAACTCATCATTTTTTATGGCTGCATAGTATTCCATGTTGTATATGTGCCACATTTTCTTAATCCAGTCTATCATTGTTGGACATTTGGGTTGGTTCCAAGTCTTTGCTATTGTGAATAATGCCGCAATAAACATACGTGTGCATGTGTCTTTATAGCAGCATGATTTACAGTCCTTTGGGTATATACCCAGTAATGGGATGGCTGGGTCAAATGGTATTTCTAGTTCTAGATCCCTGAGGAATCGCCACACTGACTTCCACAATGGTTGAACTAGTTTACAGTCCCACCAACAGTGTAAAAGTGTTCCTATTTCTCCACATCCTCTCCAGCACCTGTTGTTTCCTGACCTTTTAATGATCGCCATTCTAACTGGTGTGAGATGGTATCTCATTGTGGTTTTGATTTGCATTTCTCTGATGGCCAGTGATGGTGAGCATTTTTTCATGTGTTTTTTGGCTGCATAAATGTCTTCTTTTGAGAAGTGTCTGTTCATGTCCTTCGCCCACTTTTTGATGGGGTTGTTTGTTTTTTTCTTGTAAATTTGTTTGAGTTCATTGTAGATTCTGGATATTAGCCCTTTGTCAGATGAGTAGGTTACAAAAATTTTCTCCCATCTTCCCATATCTATAACTTCCTTATATGACTGTGAGACTTATGTGACTTGGCTCCCATAAGCCTTAATATATTTTCTTGCTTAACTGCTACTCCTGTGTTAGTTCCTAAGCATGCTATAATCAAATACCATAAATCGGATGGTTTGACCAACAGCAACTTATTTTTGCACAGTTCTGAAAGCTAGAAGTCTGAGATTCAAGGTGTCATGAGGGTTTGTTTCTTCTGAGGGCGATGGGGGAAGGATCTGTTCCTGGCCTCTCTCCTTCACTTGTACATGGCTACCTTTTCCCTGTGCCTTCACATTGTCTTCCCTCTTGCATGTCTGTGTCCAAATTTCCTTTTCTCATGAGAATATCAGTCATATTGGACTAGGGACCTTCCTGATTACTTTATATTAACTCCCATCTATATAAAGACCCTATGTCTGTATACTATCACATTCTAAGGTGCTAGGGTTTATGACTTTAACATAGGAACTGGGGACAGCACAATTCAGACCATCATATTCCCTATGTGAAACCATTTTTTTTATTTGTTTTAGCTCCTTTTTTTTTTTTTTTTTAACAGAGTCTCACTCTGTCACCCAGGCTGGAGTGCAGTGGCATGATCTTGGCCCACTGCAACCTCCACTTCCCGGGTTCAACAAGCAATTCTCTTGTATCAGCCTCCCGAGTAGCTGGGGCTACAGGTGCATGATGCCATGCCTGGCTATTTTTTGTATTTTTTTTAGTAGAGACGGGGCTTCATCGTATTGGTCAGGCTGGTCTCTAACTCCTGACGTCAGTGCTGGGATTACAGGCATGAGCCACCGCGCCTGGTGTCTCCTTTTCTATATAGATATATTCTTCACTCCTCTTGAATTGACAACCTATGCTAAACTGCTGCCCCCCTTTAAACACCTTCTTCACCTGAGTATGTTCTGACACTCTGCACAGACCAGCCTCTTACGTGTAAACTCTCCTAACTGCCTGAGCTCTAACACCCTATGCTAGGCTGTACTTTGGTGTGGATCCTTTACTTATCCCACTCCAGGCTAGCCCCCTACTATAGTAACCCTCCATATCCTTCTTAGTGTTTACACTCTGTGTTAGGGAATTCTTTATTTTAAGGGAGTTGTATTGCTGAAAAAAATCCAAATGTTGCCCAACGATATCCTTTTGACCTTTGAATGGCTAAAGCAATCCAAATAGTTCTGAACTATCTCATTATCAGAAAATATATAGTGAAGTGTAGTATCCAAAAAGAGAGTCCTCTCAGTCCCAAATCAGATGGAAAAATTGAACATAATAACACTTCTTAGATTTTCAACCAGAGTACCAAATAAATTAGCTGACCAAAGAAAAATTATTCATTGCCAGGCCAAGTGTTCCTTGTCATGTCTGTCCCTCAGGAAATCACGTGAGCTTTTGTAGCAGATGTTTATTGCATGCACCTACACTAAAACAAACTTCACTGGATAATTCCGGGATTTTTATGCTTTTTTAAACAAATGAGACATTTTAATTGCCAGGTTGTCTGTTGCAAGTAGATAAATGCTCTGTTGGATGAGAGTCATTGTACTGCATATCGTAAATCCTTGATGTGGGGTTACCTTGATGTGGAGTTAGAAGCAACAACTGGATGTTAAAGTTTTGGATTACAAAGTTTTACTTTATATGCCTTTTGTGGGGATAAGTACATCTTCAAATAATGAAATAATCAATTCTAAAAATGAATGCACAGAAAGGCCAAAATAGGCCCAGCTTGCTACGGGATTTGTCACCTCACACCGGATGAGAGGGTACAGAAACCAAATGAACTTGAATGACCGGCAAAAATAATGAGCCACCAAGTAAATCAGCCATGAAACTTACCTGTTCTCTGGATTCCTGATTATATGATATACTTGTTTCCTTATCATTTAACACATTTTATCTTGAGATTTATATTATTAGCTGATACAGGATACCCTGGCAGTATTGCAACCTTCAACAAGATACGGCCATAAGTGAACACAACTCATGCATATAATAGAGCTTGTCAGCACCTTTTTGTACCTCAGTCTTTAAAAAAAATCTTTAAAAAATATTTTTACAAAATATAGCACACATGTAGAAACATGCACAAACCTTAAAAGTATAGCTTACCAGCTGTTCATATCTTTTGACAAACTATGGTTTAGCTTTGTATCTTTTGGATATTATATGTGGAAGCAAAAGGTGTATTATTTGGTGTCTAAATTTGTTTAACTTTACAAAATGTTTGCAATATTCATATATGCAGTCGCATGTGTACTTCATTTATGTTTAGTGTATAAATGTATCACAATTTGCTTTCTTATACAATACACATTTGGGTTGTATACAGTTTTAGACGTTAATAGGTAATACTGTTTTGGATTATTGTGCATATCTACTGATGTAAACATGCCATGTTCTGTTAGGAATAAACATGAGAAGTAGCTGGATGAGAAAGTATGCATATTTTCAACTTGTCTGTTCAATGTGATCTATTGAACCATTGCTTTTTTTCTGGACAAAGAATTTTTGCCTGGGACTCTCAGATATCCAGAATCATCGTGAATAGCTGATTAAGATCTCTCTTTGAGACTATTACTACGTAAGATTGCAAGAAGGCGTGCATAGCCAGATTATAAATTGCAGGGGCAAGGACCTCTGAAGCTCAGTGAGATACTTACATATGGTAATAGTGTATTGGCAGTTGGCTACTCTAGCAATTTCTAATTTTATAACTTTCTTTTTAGCAGGATTAAACTTACACTTTCCACAAGACAAAAAAATTATATCTGGCAAATTTTAAATTTAAAGAGCTAGACTTTTGATTCCTTGATTCATTACCATGGCCTTTTATAGGTGACACAGAACAGAGGTACATTATAAGTCTTGCAGGATAATACAGGGTTTTAAATTACTTCAATTTTTGTGTCCTTTTAAATAAATTTGTACAACTCTTAGACTATATTACATCTTGTACTGAAGTAGCGACTGGTATCTGTGTCTAAGAGGAATAAATGCAATCTAGACAAGCAAATGAAATGATAAAAATTAGTAGAGCATGTTTCAAGTCTAAGATAAAATATAAATACAGGAAAATTCTCCTGTTCCTTCTCATAAATATTTGAAAATATTGATTTAATATGTAAGTAGACACTGTATATTCAAGAATGTAACTTGTGACTATGATTCATTTATCTACTTTGACCAGAGACCTGTTTGAACAGAATATTTCCATCAGTGCAACATTATCTTAAAACACACACCATCAAATTAAAATTCATTAGTACAGACAAAGTGCACCAGGATTAGTCTTTAAGGAGAAACTCATATCTGGCGTAAATACAGTCAACATTTAACTTGAGATATTAATATAATTGAATTGGTCTGTGTTAATCTTGTAAAATTTGATGTTATTCTGTATTTTTTATCTTAAAAGAGAAGCTGTAAATAAGTTCATTAGGTGCTAGTATATGGCATGTATGCTCTGAACATGTGGACACTTTTTAAACTATATTCTTCTAAGCAACTGCAGCTCTGAAAATCAAAATTCCACATAAAATTTATTTTAAAAATAGAAAACATCCCTATGCTTTTTTAAGACCAGTCGAAATATATATATATATATATATATATATATATATATATATATATATATATATGTATATATATGTGTGTGTGTGTGTGTGTATTTTTTTTTTTTTTTTTTTTTTGAGATGGAGTCTCGCTGCTTCACACAGGCTGGAGTGCAGTAGCGGGATCTCGGCTCACTGCAACCTTTGCCTCCTGGGTTCAAGTGATTCTGCTGCCTCAGCCTCCTGAGTAGCTGGGATTACAGGCATGTCCACTACTCTTTGCATTTTTTTTTTTTTTTTTGTATTTTCAGCAGAGACTGGGTTTCGCCATGTTGGCCAGGCTTGTCTCGAAATCTTGACCTCAAGTGATCCACCGTCCTCGGCCTCCCAAAGTGCTGGGATTAGAGGCATGAGCCACTGCGCCCGGCCTCAATTCTATTTTTAAATGTAACTGTATTTATTATAGTTTTTATTTTATATTCTGCACAAACATGTGCAGGTTTGTTACAAGAGTATGTTACATAATGCTAAGGTTTAGATTTCTATTGCTCCTATCACCCAAATAGTAAACACAGTACCCAATAGGGAGTTTTTCAGCTCTTGCTCCTTTCCCTTCCTCCTTCCTTTTGGGGTTCCCAGTGCCTATTGTTCCTGTCTTTATGTCTGTGTGAATCCAATATTTAGTTCCTGCTTATGAGTGGGAACATGCAATATTTGGTTTTCTATTTCTATGTTAATTCACTTAGAATAATGGCCTCCAGCTCCATCCACATTACTGCAAAGAACTGGATTTCATTCTTTTCTATAGCTGCATAGTACTCCATGGTGTATATGTACCACATTTCTTTATACAGTCCACCATTCATGGGCACCTAGGTTGATTCCATACCTTTGCTATTGTGAATGGTGCTGCAAGGAACATACAGGTGCATAGGTCTTTTTGATAGAACAATTTATTTTCCTTTGGGTATATACTCAGTAATGGCTTTACTGGGTTGATTGTTAGTTCTATTTTTAGTTATTTGAGAAGCATATAAACTGTTTTCCACAGGCTATGAACTAATTTGCATTCCCACCAGCAGTGTGTACGTATTTCCTTTTCCTTGCAACTAGCCAACATCGATGACTTTTTGACTTTTTAGTACTAGCCATTCTGACTGGTGTGACATGGTATCTCATTGTGGTTTTGATCTGTGTCTCTGATAATTAGAGATGGTGGAGCATTTTGTAACATGTTTTTTGACCGCTTGTCTGTCTTCTGAGAAATATCAGTTTTTTTTTGCCCACTTTTTAATGGGGTTTAAGTTTCTTATAGATTCTGGATATTAGACCTTTATAGGATGCATAGTTTGCAATATTTTTCCCAATCTGTAGTTTGTCTATTTACTCTGTTGATAATTTATTTTGCTGTACAGAAACTCTTTAATTTAATTAAGTCCCATTTGCCTATTTTTGATTTTGTTGCACTTGCTTTTGGGGTCTTCATAAAAAATTTCTTCACCTAGGCCAGTGTCTAAAAGAGCATTTCCTAGGTTTTCTTCTAGAATTTTCATAATTTTTCTTATATTTAATTATTTAATCAATCGAGTTAATTTTTGTATATAGTGGGAGGTAGGGGTCCAAGTTCATTCTTCTGCTTTTTGTTAGCCAGTTTTCAAAGGAGGATTTATTGAAGGGATTCCTTTCTCCATTGTTTATTTTTGCCAACTTTGTTGAAGATCAGTTGGTTGTAGGTGTATGTGACTTTACTCAGGGGACTTTATTCTGTTTCATGGCTCTATTTTTTTTTAACCAATATGCTGCTGCTTTTGTTAGTGTAGCCTTGTAGTACAGTTTGAAGTCAGATAATAAAATGCCTCTGAGTTTATTCTTTTTGCTTAGGATTGCTTTGGGTATTTGTGGTTTTGTTTTGTTTTTTTCTTTTGGGTTTCATATGAATTTTAGATTAGTTTTTTTTTTCCAATTCTGTGAAAAATGACATTGGTAATTTGATAGTAATAGTGTAGATTGCTTTGAGTAATGTGGACATTTAAATTATATCGATTCCTTCATCCCATGATCATGGGATGTTTTTCTATTTGTGTCATCTATGATTTCTCTCAGAAATGTTTTTTAGTTTTCTTTGTAGAGATCTTTCACCTCCTAGGTATTTTTTTGTGTCCACTGTAAATACGATTGAGTTCTTGGTATGGCCTTCAGCTTCAACATTACTGATGTTTAGAAATGCTGCTTATTTTTGTACATTGATTTTGTATCCTGAGCCTTTGCTGTAGTTGTTTATGAGTTTTAGTAGTCTTTTAGTGGAATCTTTAGGATTTTCTGGGTATAAAATTGTATCATAAGCAAAGAGAGATAATCTGACTTCCTCTCTTCATATTTGGATGCTTTTTATTTCTTTTTCTTGCCCAATTGCTCTGTCTAGGACTTCCAGTGCTGTATTGAATAGGAGTGATCAGAGTGGACATCCTTGTCTTGTTTCAGTTCTTAGGGGTAGTGTTTTTGCCTATTCAGTATGATGTTGGCTGTGGGTTTGTCATAGATGGCTTTTATTATTTTGAGGTATGTTCCTTTGATGTCTAGTGTTTGAGGACTCTTGTCATAAAGGGATGTTGAGTTTCATCAAGTGCTTTTTCTGTGTCTATTGAGATAATCATATGTTTTTTGTATATATTTCTCTTTATGTGGTGAATCACATTTATTAATTTGTTATGATGAACCATCCTTGCATTCGAGGAACAGAGCTCACTTGATAGTGGTCAATTAACTTTTTGATGTTCTACTGGATTTGGGTTTGCTCATACTTTGTTGAGGATTTTTGTATCTATGGTCATCAGAGATATTGGCCTGTAGTTTTCTTTTGTTGTTGTTTTTTTGTTTTTGCCAGATTTTGGTATCAGGTTTATAATGGTTTCATAGAATGAGTTAGGGAGGAATTCTCCTCCTCAATTTTTTGGAATCATTTTAATATGATTGGTAGTGTTCTTCTTTGTACAACTGATAGAATTCAGCTGTGAATCTATCTGGCCCACAGCTTTTTTAAGTTGGTAAGTGCTTTTATTTAAATTACTGAGTAAATTTCATTGCTCATTATTGGTATGTTCAGAATTTCTGTTAATTCCTGGATCAATCTTGGGAGTTTTATGTTTCCAGGGATTGGAAATTTAACTATATGTACAATAATGATGAACAATAAAGTATAAAGGAGTAGGTTTAGCATAGCATAAGTATTTTAATAAATTATTGAATGAACAAACTGGGATTATAAATTTTTTTCTAACTTCTCTTATTTATCTAGTCCTGAGGCAGGGTATTTTATTTTAGTGTTATTTAACATTTCTTTGCCTCAGTTTCCCTACTTCCAAATGAGGTTTATAATCCTAAATACAGAATAGTAGTAACTATCCTGAAAACCTGTCGATAGAACCTGATAGATTCTGATAGATTCTGGACATTTCTGCCAGCCTCAGACGCTGTCACTTCAGTCATTTATTCAAAAATCTTAATTAAGCATTAATTTATTACATAGTTGAATTTATCAACCCATTTACATACTCTACTTGGGACAAGACAGATCTTGAACCTACTTTTTAAGGCATTTTCTGAGACAATGGTCAGAAGCAGAGAGAAACTTACGAGCAATGGGGGAGATACGGCTTTTTGTTGTTTTTTTGGATGATGCCTTTAGAAAAAATTCTGCCTTTAAATGACCAATTAAAAAATAGATTTGACTATTACTCACTGACATTTATGTTTATTCTTTTCAGTGTTTTCTTCTTTGCAGTTAAAATGTATTAATGATTATTGTATTTCACTCTATATTTGTCATATAAAAGATAGGCTGGGTATATGGTGGCTTATGCCTACAATTCCAACACTTTGGGAGGCTGAGGTGAGAGGATCACTTGAGGCTAGGAGTTTAAGGCTGCAGTGAGCCATGATTGTACTGCTGCTCTCCAGAGTGGGTGATAGACACCCTATATCAAAATACATACATACATACATAATAAAAGCTGTAAAATCTCTCATTTTTTAAATCAGGCATTGTGTTATATATATGTATAGGTTACAAAATTTTTTTACTAATCTTAGCAAGCCTCATACCGCTGAATTATCTTCTACAAGCTTGACTTTACAAATCAATGCAATCAGGGAAGTTCAATGACAGACTAATTTTGTTTCATTTTGTTTTGTTTCCATTAACAAAGCCCACATTAGTTGGTGTCTTAAAAGTTATGCCAACATGCCAGCTCAGTAGGGGAATAGATCTTCAGTATTGAAAATCAATGGATTCTGTGTGACACAAAGTAGTACTTTTAAAAGATGCATTGTGCAAACTTAATCTGGTTTATTTTCTTTGCAGTGGGTAAAATTAGAGTTGGAAAATGATGCAAATATTGAACTATTCATAGTAAGCAAGGCATAAACCAGGAGACAGTGACTGTTGTAGATTCTGCAACAAAATGAATTTCAACAAGTAGAATATGGTACTTGAAAAATATAGCAAGATTCAGTAAAAAGGCAGTCTTTATCACAGATCCATTCATTGAGTAAAAACAGTTAATGAGCATCTGATTTGTTCCAGAGACTCTTCAAAATGTGTTGATTATGCCAGACAGATCATAGCAATAGACTGTATAAGATCAGTTAGGATGGGCATGAGACAGGAAACTCCGCCACTATTTTGAATTTGAGAAAAGGGATGCAGGCCCTGCAAGTGGGGAAGAAAATGTGGCTCTATTCCAAGAACACAGGCCTGCTTGTTAGCTTACTTATTTATTCATTTACCTACAATCTTCAACATTTTCAGTTTAAAAAAGAATAACTCAAAGGTTGGAACAATCAATCGTGAGTTTATCTTAAGGCACTATATACCCTGGAGATTCTTAGATGGTTGGTAAGTTTTTTTCTTTTAAAGTCAAACAAAGCAAAATGACACCCATGACTCCAGGTATCTAGTCTTCAAGGATGTTTCCACCCTTGTTGGAAGACTGTCCTTTCTCACTGATTGGTCTTGGTAAACTTGTGGAAAATCATTTGACAACATTTGTGAAGTTTTATTTCTGGGCTTTCTGTTCTATTTGTGTTGGTCTATATGTTGGTTTATGTCAAATTTATTGATAATACTATTCATGTAATCTACATCCTTACTGATTTTTTGTCTGCTTCATCTATCAGGGATTGAGCAAACTGTGTTAAATTATCTGACAGTAATAGATTTGTGTATTTGTTTTTATTCAGTTATATCAGTTTTTGCCTTATGTATTTTGATGCTCCATTGTTAGTCTGCACATGTTTAAGATTGTTATGTCTTCTTGGAGAACTGACCCCTTTATTATTATGTTATGTACCTCTTTATCTCTTATAGTCTTTCCTATTCAGAAGTCACTTTTTTGAAATTGATATTGCTATCCTAGTTTTCTTTTCAATAGAGTTAGTATGGCATATATTGTTTCATCTCATTTTTTTTAACTTGTATCTTTATATTTAAAGTGTGTTACTTATAAACAGCACACAGTTGAGCCATCGGGTCTTTTTATTTATTTATTTTTTACATACAGTTTGACAATTTCTGTCTTTAAACTGTTGTATTTATACCATTCATATTTAAGGAATTATAGGTATAATTGGAGCAAAATATGTCATCATTGTAACTCTTTTTTATTCATAGCATCTGTTATTTCTTTTCCTGCTTCTTTTTCTTGATACTCTGACTTTAATTGAGCACTTTATTTGATTCTACATTGTCTCCTCTTTGACATATTATTTTTTCCTTTTGAATTTTTTTTTTTAGTGTTTGCACTAGGATTTAAATAATTTATGTTCACCTCCTAATAACCAACACTGTTTTATTTGTAGTACAAGTACTTTATAAGAGCTACCACCCCTGTATCTCTTGTGTGTTCAGTAAGATTTAAACATTTATTTGATTGTGGAGCACAACACAATGACAGATAGATGAAAGGCAGAAGTCTTGGTTATTTACAGCTCCAAAATAGAGAAGGCTGACATACAGGATTGTACAAGGATTTGTAAATGGACACAGTGTAACAATTATCTTGTGTCGTAGGGGCAACTTATATATGACAAATAAGGAAGGGGAAGCTAAAGTTCACCAGGCTTTGTCTAATTTGAACAATTCTATGAACTATTGGGCACAGCAGCTGTCCCTGCTTGCTTAGGTCCTGATCCCAGAGTGTTGGATCTTGGAGAATAAGGATAATTGTGGTCTGTGCCTAGTGGTCTCAGAGAGTGGGATGTGTTCGGAGTGGGGACTCAGCAAACTGCCCAAGAAGGGAGCTCTGAGGATTTTAGCGATAACTTCAAACCCAGGTCAAGGCAACACTCATCAATTATTATACTACAATTGACATCTTGATGTCTTGATATCAATTTTGAGCTGGATAATTTTGGATATCTGATTGGTCCAAATAGTAGAGAAGACTTCCAGAAAGCAGGACATCTGTTGCTCTAAACAACATAGAAAACTGTTTCTATGACATTAAGGATAAATAAACCAAGTAAAAGCATGGAGATTCCCTGAAGGTCAGCTATTAACCAGGATTTCATTTGTTTGGAGTTAAGTAAAAGAATAAATTAGTCATGACAAGGGCCTCCAGTAATATTTTTGTTGAGTTACAAAATATGTTAAAATTGTGGGTTATGGTATTATGATGATTTCATGGCTCATACATTCTGTTAGAGTGGCTGCTTCACTAATGTTGTTAATCCACATATAAATATTAATATTATAAACACCCCTTTGATTAGCTAATAAATAATTAAGTGATGATTTATTACTAAAACCTATTTTTGTCATTTTTTCCTAGCCTTGTTTAAGTAAGTCTAGTATTTAGCATACTTGAAAAACTAGAGTTTTGGATGTTTTAGGTTAGTGTTAATTATTTTTTATTATTTAGTAAGAGTGATGGTTCCTGCATCCATTCCATCAAGTCCCAAAGTGGTGGCAACTTCAAATATTATAGGTATGAATGTAGCACATTGTTGATGCTTGGTTAGGGTGAGGGAAGAATAATTAAAATTTGTATAAACAGGAAGGCCAAGAAAGATTCGAATGCATGGATGCGATTTGTGGCTTTGGGGTAGAGGAAGGATAAATACTTTAGAACACACCCACAGTAGAGAGGATGAACATTGTGTTTTTTTGTTGGGCTGAACTATAACCCTATAACCCTATAACATTGTCTTTAGATTGGGAAATTGCACCTTGCCTTATATAATTTAGAATTACTAAGGAGGACTGGAGAAAGGCAGTGCTTTTTGGGGGGCATGTGATAACAGTGTGGAGTTTTCCATTAGGTACATATGTGCCATGTATTTAGAAAACATGAAAGTAGTTGACATTTATCATGAAGCAGTTCCCCAGATGCAAGGGAGGTTCAGTTGGGAAGAGGATTTTTTTGTTTTGTTTTGTTTTGTTTTGTTTTTTTGTTTTTTTTGTTTTTTTTTTTTGTTTTTTTTTTGAGACGGAGTCTCGCTCTGTCACCCAGGCTGGAGTGCAGTGGTGCGATCTCGGCTCACTGCAAGCTCTGCCTCCTGGGTTCACGCCATTCTCCTGCCTCAGCATCCCGAGTAGCTGGGACTACAGGTGCCCGCCACCATGCCCGGCTAATTTCTTTTTGCATTTTTAGTAGAGACGGGCTTTCACCGTGTTGGCCAGGATGGCTACAATCTCCTGACCTTGTGATCCGCCCACCTCGGCCTCCCAAAGTGCTGGCATTACAGGCGTGAGCCACCGCGCCTGGATGGGAAGAGGTTTTTATCTTCCTATATTTATCCATCACACAGCTGGATAAATGTGTGGTGTGATATACGTGGAAGCAAGTTGATGAAAAAAATTAATAATTATGGAGCTTCAATACGTGAAAGGCTAGATCATTTAAATGTATGTGTATGTTGGATGTCTACGTAAGTAGCCCAGGGACTAAGATGATGGATTTAGACTGTGTTTACCATATAGTATTCTGGAGGGTTAGAGATATGAGCACTATGATAATGGGAGAGACTGCAGTGCCTCTGTGGATGTTTATTAATGAGGAAGAAGAAGGGGGAGATGATATAGATGAACAAATAGAGCATTGAGAGGCCAACAGATTTATTTTGTTTTACCTAGGAGAGGACGCAATATGAATATTTTGGTAAGTTCTCCCTTTAGACAAAAAAAGATGAGTGATATGAGCAGAACATTAGCCTTGGAGACATTACAGAGGCATTGGACTTGGTCCCATGGAGGCTTAACAAAGGTACAAGTTAGAATTACAATCAGAGGGGGTAAACTTTACAGTTTTATAGCTATTGCAAAGCAAGGTTGAGCTGCAGGGCAAACAGATTCCAGTGTCTGAAAAATCACTCCAGTCTGGTGGGTCCTGCCTTTTCAAAAAAGATTTCGCAATGTGATCAGTCACTGGAGAAACAACAATGTCTGGAATTTCGTGGTGAGATTTGTCTAGTTCTGGTATAGTTGGGATTGCCAGTAGTTTGATAAGAGGTAGGGGCAAAGTAATCTCTTAGCGATTTCTTGGATTTGGGCTGAGGTGACATCTTCCGAGACAATGCTTTCTCTACAGCAATCTCTTGGGCTAGGATGATGTGGGACTGGAGAATCCTTCCTAACTGGATATCAATTTGTGTTTATGTGGTTATGTTTTTGTGGCTGCAGGATGTAATGACACTGAGACACTTGTAGAATTTGAAGAAAATGGGACTTGCAGCTTGACTTGGGGATATCTTTTAAATCAAGAGGCTTTTTGATCACACAGCTAGCAGATGTGATGCCAGCAGCTGTGATCCTGCCATAATTGGACCAAAACAACAGGGCCCAACTACTACAGTTAAAGTTCCAATTAATGATGGTTGAATATAAAGGCTCCTAATAGTCCAAGGTTTTGTCCCGTTGGATGATGAAAAGGGTTCTACCACAAATAGATTCAAATAGATTTTAAATCTTAGGGCCTGTTTTGGTGGAATTGGTTAATTGAATGAGGGCATGTCTGCCATACCCATGGCTGAGGCTGGAGCTACAGCATTAGCCCGTAGGCAGACCCTCCGTTAGGCAGTTACTATTGACCTTTTGACTCAGTCTTCAGTTTGGTTGGTGACAGGAAAGCTGGCATGATGGTCTTTGGGCTTCAAGGCTACTATTAGCCAAACTTGGTGCCATGCAGGCCTCAGCATTTGTAATGTTTGATTAAAACAATGTCTTATTTGGTAGGTTTGAACCTCTGAACTGCAAACCAATAAAAACACACAAAACAATGAAAACAAAACCAAGAGTCAACATAAAGATGTGTTGTTGCCTCTTACAGTCATTTTGCTGTTTGACATTTCTTTCTCTCCGACATGCATTATTACCAAGAAGGAGTTTCTATTTTCATCATGGTGGGGCAGGGTATTGCTTCCAACATTATTTTCCAGTGCACTTTTCTTTTACCAAATGGAATTGCTTATCCCCTTTCTTGGTAGTCCCCACCGTTTGTGGAATGGCCCTGGAGCAATAGTTTTAATATCTTGAAGGGAATTGGAAAGGGAGGCCATATTTATTATCTGTCCTTTGTACTTGAATAGTCCTGAATATTTTTAACAGTGAAAATTTAGGTTCAAGTGGGTCCTGTAACACGTGGACAAGTTCCAGACCTGTAGAGAAATCTACCATTAGGAGAATATCCACTTTTGATATGGCATACAGGTCTTGTGACATGGGCTGTTTGAAAATTGATATTCATAGAAAGAGGTTTGATTGAAGGGCCTGATATATAAAGAATCCTCATCAATGTATAAATGAGACATATCTCCCTTTAAACACAGAAAAGGGCTATGAAGAGGCTTGTAAAAATTTATATGTCATGTAAGTCTGCCCAAATATTTCAAAGTAGGAGAAATTACAGATTTATCCAAAACTGAGATCCAGCTAGGGGTCCATTTGCTAGACTGAAGTTTAAAAATCTGTTGTTTCATATGACTGTGATGTCTTTTCATTAAACTGGTCACCAGGGGGCTATATAACAGATGGAAATTCCATTGAATACCCTGTTCCAGGGCCCACTGTTACACTGCTTGTGCTGTAAAATGGGATCCCTGATCTGAATCAATAATGTCAGAGTCCAGAAGGGTATTAGGATGTTTTTAGCAAGGCCAGTGATTGTTTCATCTGTAGCATGTACAGTTAGAAAGGACAGAAGGAGGTCATTATAGGTATCTATCTAGCTAGAGCACAACACGTGACCGCTGCTTAAGGGAGAAGCAGTCCAATATAATCTACTTGCCATCCACTGTAGGGAATATTTCTCCAGGGAATATTGCTATATTTTGTTGGGGCCAAGGGAAAGTTTTCCTTTTGCCCTCTGAAGTTTTACTGAAAATCAACTATCAAAAAAGCAGATTAATGGAATAAAAGGTATACAGATTTATTAACATGCACTGGAGTCCTGGAAAATATAAGAACTCACATGGTTGATGCTTTTATACCATCTTAAGGTTACAGAAAAAGTAGGGGCTTGGATCATTGCAAAACAGGTTACAGTGGCAAAATAGGTTATGGGAAGAGGAGAAGACGTGCCCTGGATAGTAAAGGTGATCTTGTTACATAGATGAAATGTCACATGTGGCTGCCCTCAGAGAAAATAGATGGGAAATGATACTTTAAGACTTTTAAAATGTCAGACTCCTAGTTAATCCTTCCTAAACCTGGATAAGGGAGGGCCTTAGAGAAAGCCTGACTATATCAATGCAGACTTTCTCTACAAATGCAAATTTGCCCCACAGAAGATACCTTTGCAAAAGTTTCTTCTGTTTGTAGGCCCTCAGATGGCAAAAAATAAATATTTGGGGTGAAATATTTTGTTATTTTTTCAGTATCATGAGTTGCCAATGACAGATTTCACCAGAACATATACATCTATCAACAGCTGATTTCACCATGAGTTGTATTGAAGAAAGTCCTTTAGCTTTGGCACAATCCATCAGAGAAAGGACTCCTAGATGGCTCAAAGTTTCATGGACCCAGACTGTCCATGGTGATAGAACTGAGGAAGATTGGGAAAGGGAAATTTGGTCCTGTTTATCAGTCTCATCATTGAAGAGAGCCTTTGGCATATTAGCATTGGTAGCAGCAGAGACATGAGTGACCCAAATTTTGAGGAGAATAACTCACCAGTTGATGCTGAGTGGACCATCTCCATAGTTCTTTTCCTTGGAATAAAGAAATTGTCCATTTTCTATTTGCTGGGCCAAAAACCAAGACCATTGGCTATTGCCCAGGAATCTGTAAAACAGTGAACAGATTTCAGTTTTGCAATCTACCCATCTGACAAAAGTCTAATACCCAGAATATACAAGGAGCTTAAACAAATTTACAAGAAAAAAAACAACAACAACCTCATCAAAAAGTGAACAAAGGATATGAAAAGTCACTTCTCAAAAGAAGACATTTTTGCAGCTAGCAAACATATGAAAAGGCTCAACATCATTGATCATTAGAGAAATGCAAATTAAAACCACAATGAAATACCATCTCATGCAAGTCAGAATGGCGACTATTAAAAGTCAAGAAACAATAGATACTGGTGAGGCTGTGGAGAAATAGGAATGCTTTTACACTGTTGGTGCAAATGTAAATTAGTGTTACCATTGTGGAAGACAGTGTGGCTATTCCTCAAGGATCTAGAACCAGAAATACTATTTGACCCAGCAATCCCATTACTGGGTATATACCCAAAAGAATATAAATCATTCTACTATAAAGACACTGCATATGTATGTTTATTGCAGCACTATTTATGGAACCAACCCAAATGCCCATGAATGATAGACTGGATGAAGAAAATGTGGTACATATACCCCATGGAATACTGTGCAGGCATAAAAAGGAATGAGATCATGCCCTTTGCGGGGACACGGATGAAGCTGGAAGCCATCATCCTCAGCAAACTAACACAGGAACAGAAAACCAAACACTGCATGTTCTTTCTCATAAGTGGGAGTTGAACAGTGAGAACACATGGACATACAGAGGCAACAGCCCACACCAGGGCCAGTTGGTGTGTGGGGGACAAGGAGAGGGAGAGCATTAGGACAAATAGCTAATGTATGTGGGGCTTAAAACCTAGATGATGGGTTAATAAGTGCAGCAAACCACCATGGCACATGTATACCTATGTAACAAACCTACACATTCTGTACTTGTATCCTGGAACTTAAATAATGATTAAGAAAAGAAGATATAGATAGACAGAAAGATAGATGATAGATAGATCTTTTCTCTCTTTCCTTTTCCCCTTTTTTATAACCTTGTAATATCTGTCCAAGCTATCTGTTCCTATTTATTCCTACTGTCACCACATGTATTTAAGGCCACATTTTACATAATAAGATATTTAAATAGATCCTTGACCTGGTTTTCTGGGGACACCTTCTTCCCCTTTCTAATCAATTTTATAATCCTTTCAATTTATTATTTCTGTACTACTTCTCTAATCAGTACCTTTCCATGATGAAAGTTGTCAGTAGCTCTGTCTCTTTTCAAGAATAATGTCCACATTACTTAGTTAATAATTCAATGTGTACATAACTGCAATTTATCTTTTCCATTCTATTTCTCACAATTCCTCTTAGTGATATTTACTGTTAAAATGCAGAAGTAATAGATACTTTCAATTGATGTAAGACACTCAGATTATTCAGTATTTTATTAGACTAGCTTTAAAGTATGTCTTCATATTCACCCAGCCCTAACCGCCCTTCCAGAGTCTCAAAACACCAACACTCCCATCATTTTTTCCTTCAAAGCAGTATTTTGCATCCATAGGATTTTCCTCCATACATCTTATAAAATGCCTTTCTATCTCATTATGTAATTGTTTATCTATGTATTTCATCTCCTCAACTAGGTTGTATATTTTTCAGAGGGCAACCTTCATATTTGATTAATGTTTGTTTGATCATATCATTCAATATAGTGACTTAAATCTTGCTGATCCACAAAAACAATTTGTTGAATGAATGTATTGGTTTTCTATTGCTCAGTAACAAATTACCACAAACTTGGCAGCTTAAAGAAATACTACTTATTATATCATAGTTCTGTAGATCAGAAATCCAGGAAGGCTCTACAGGATCTCATTTTAGGGTTTTACAAGGCTTAAATCAAGGTATTGGCTGAGCTAGGATTTTACATAAAAGTGTCTGGGGAAGAACATATTTCTATGATCATTTCGGTTGTTGACAGAATGTATTTTCTTGAAGTTGTATGACTGAGGTTTTGTTTTTGCTGTTTGCTGTCACGTATGAGCTACTCTTAGCTTTAGAGGCTATCCATATTCTTTGCCACAAGATCCCTACTAAGTTCAAGCCAGGCACAGCATGTCAAATCTTCCTCATACTTTGAAACTCTCTTTCTCTGTATGCTTCCAGCCAGGAAAAATTCTGCTTCTAAAAGGTTCACCTGATTGGGTCACATGCACCAAGATAATCGCCTTAACTTAATATTAGTTAATTTGGGACTTCAACTCCATTTACAAAATCCCTTCACCACATTTCCTAGATTAGTATTGAATGAAGAATCAGGGAACTGGAATTTTGGTAGAGAAATTGATAAAAGTACACCTTCCTCAGTGAGTAAAATAAAATCCTCACCATTCTGAATCACATTTAGAATGTACAATCTTTGACTACAGAGAATCTTCTGCACTGAATTTTAGAAAAAGTTTAAGCAACATGGTTACAATATGTAACCATGTTATAGTATGATTATAATATACATTCAATATTTAAAATCTTTGTTTTATTAGAGTTTCATTGTATGTTATGAATTCCCATATGTTTTTTGTTCGCCAAGACTTTTAGAAGCCTTATATTTGACTCATGATATATTAACAATTAATTCAAAGGACATTTTTATCTTCTTGGAAATTACATTTATGCAAAATATTGCTATTTGTATTAACAGGTATAGGATATGTTTGGTTTTGCTCTATGAAGTGTTAGAGATCATATATGACTATAAGTAAAATAATCACAGAATTTTACCAAGGGCTTTTATATGCAAGATTCTTTGAACAAAGCTTAAAAGAAATTTCATGATTTGCATTGTATAGGATAATATATAGTATTTAAATTAATCACTCAAAGCTATGTCATGGATAAGTACCATAGCTAGGACTTGGAAACTGAGTCTTACAGTCAATGCTTTGTCAACTGAATAACAACTATGAGGTATCACTTTTTATACCTACAAACTTATATAACCACAATTTTATTTCTTTGTGCACCATGCCCACAAGGAATGAGCTTTGGATCAAATTCTCGATAGAACAGTAGTTATTTTAGGATACTCATAGGATACTTTCTTCCAGTTTCTTCCAGTTATAAAATTTCATAAAGTTATAAAATATACTTTGGCTATTTGTTATATGTTAAATTTTATATTTGTAAATCTATGACGAAACCTCCAATGAAGTGAAGCTGGTTTGTAGATGAAAGAACGATTACATTTTAATTAATTTAGTAGATCTGCAGAATACACTTTGCTTTAAAAAAAATTATAGGCATATATATGTATATATAGACAAGAAACACTCAAGAAATATGCAATTTCAGATTCATCAGTATGGCTAAAATGTCTCTGCAAATTTTTAAAATTTAAAGAATTTGTGTTTTGATCATTATTAGCACAGTTGACTCTAAAACAGTTGGAAATCTAAAAACAAAAAAAGGTGAAATGTAATGTCAGCTTATTTCTTACTTTCTCCAAAATTTCAACCTAGTTATTTTATATTTTTCTTAGTAATTTTGCTCATAGTGGAATAAAAGTTTATAGTATATTGAAATAAATTTTATTCCTCCAACTGTATCTGAGTTTTATATCCTAGTCATTGTTTTCATCCAGTTATTATAGGCAACCATAACACTTGTTAGGTGCATTCTCAGAATTTAACTCCCCAGTGACATTAGTGATTATAAATTTTTTTTCTTTTTTCTTTGATAAAATACAAACACTTCCACACAATAACTAAATAAGTACAATGGCCCTTTGAAAGACAATGTAACCTATCTCATGAGGTTTTACTTTAGTCAGTAATGACATAAAATATCTCCTGTCTGCTGTACACTGCTAATTTACCTCATGAATTTTACAGAATTAAAAGAAACAGAAAAAAATACCAAAAAAAACACATTTCTTATTACAAAATACTAAGAAAGGTTGATACAAGATCTATTATTTTCAAACAAAAATCAGCACTATGGGGAATTATATATATGTGAGCCTTAATCAAATTAAGGTATGGATATGAAGTAAGTGTTTTAGACTAGAATCATGATAAACACAATGCATCCTTACAACTGATTTTAAATACTTAATGCTAATAGTTAAATCCTTAACTGTTAATATTTAAATGTATGGGATAAGTCAACAGGTACAAAAATGCTCTGTTTCTTTCATGCTCTACTTGTTTACTTCACATGCAAAAAATTTACTTGCTCATATTTGTTAGCTCATAGCACAGTATCTTCATTGGTTTTTACAATATCCTGCTTTTCTTTCAATATTTATTTATACAAGCATTTCATCCATATTTCTCATTCATATTTCCCACCCCAGTGGCAAATTTTAATTAAATGTGTTTTATCAACCTTTGCATTTTTCCTTGGTTGTGTATATGCTTAATCTACATACATTGTATTAAGAAATGTGTGTGTGTGTGTGTGTGTGTGTGTGTGTGTCTGTACAGTTTTGTGCCGGTAAGTGTTTAACAACTGGCTTCTTGAAAAAATAAAATTTGATTTGTGATGTTTACTGGTTTCCGTGGAATAAATAGACATACCCACCATAGCCAAATTGGAGTTACTAATATGTTATTGAATGCAGAGTTAGTTAATGATGTGCAGTAGCAAGCCATATATAAATATCCAATTCTTATAACAATTTTAGATATGATTTTCTATTTCTTTGTAAAGCTGGTAGTGCTCTTTGAAGCTGACAAACTCCTTGGTTAGAGATTTTCATCATAATTATCAAATTGTAAATAAAGTAAAACTTTGGGAAAGGCAGTTTCATAAGTGTCTTAGTCCATTTCTGCTGCTATAACAGAATACCAAAGACTGGGTAATTTATAAAGAAAGAAATTTATTTTGGCTTATAGTTCTGGGAGCTGGGACGTCCAAGTACGTGAAACTGACATCTGATGAGGGCTTTCTTGCTGTTTTATCCTATGGCAGATGTGGAACTGAGCACTTTAGATAGAGAGGAAATGAGGGCCAAACATCCTTTTATCAGGAGCCCACTCTCATGATAACTAGCCAATCCCATCATAAGAGCATTAATCCCTTTATGAAGGCAAATCTCTTATGGCCTAAAAGTATCACAGTTTAATATTGTTACAATAGCAATTAAGTTTCTAACACATTTAACAGATTTAGGGGACACATTCAAACCATAGCAATAGTATACATTAAAACCTTTAAAGAGTTTATGAAATTTAACCTAATTATTTCACTTTTACAATATTTTGGAAAACAAAAATGTGTCCTAGATGGGCACATAATTTTTGTTACATATTTTATTTATGAGTCCACAATAAGAAACATGTCAAGCAACTTAGGAGTCATATAGAAAGCCTCTGTTTATTGGAAACAGTCATTAGTTAAACATAAAAATCGTTATGCACCCCTTAACATAATTTTTGTGTGTATGTGTAATAGTATAATAACTTATGAGGCTCTACTTGTAAGTTACCATGTTACTCTCTAAGTAATAGTAGCCTAGAATTATTCTTTTATGTTTTAATTCAGTTACATCATATAACTACATACCAAGGAAGCTGTTAAACTATTCATTATAATTAACTTTGAGTTAACTATTATGAGTGGTTTTCTGTTTTCATTTTTCCATACTGCTGCATTTGATAATGTTGCTACAGTTATGCAGACAAAACATACATATATAGAAAGAAATTTCATTTAATAGTCTGTAGAGTTATGTTAAGAGTAAACATATTTAAAATAAAATCCATGGAATTCTATGGAGCACATTTGGGACTCTGGGTTAAAGAAATTTCTCTGTGGTAGAAAGAAGTCTGCACATGCCATGTGAGATTTTCATTTAATTACTTGTTTTGCCATTTACAACTTTCCTAAACTTAAATGAGTCATTTTATTATCTTGACTCTCAGTTTTTCTATGTTTTGTAGATAATCATACCAACATAAAATAAGTTGTATAAGAATGTTATGTTCTTTGTGAGGATTTACATAACAATTGCATAGCAAGGTAAGATTCTCTATAAATATAAATATACATTTAATGTGTGTATATACACAGCACATTTGTGTAGGCATATCTGAAACTAGATGAATAAAATGCATCCTACAATTTCCCAAACTCCCCTAAGGGAGCTGCCTTATATAGAATTTCCACAGAGAAGTCCTTGGTGGTCATGGTTTATAGCATGTTTGTATTCATTTTGGCCACTGCTATTAGGCCGGGCTCAAAAATACATATTGAACCAGTAGCTTGTCTATAAGAGGATTATGAACAGTGAAATAACACAAGAATAAGAAACTTATTTCCCAGAATTAGAGTGGAAAGGATGCATAGAGGAAAACTACATAAGTTATATGGTCAATAATCACGGCAAGCCAAACTTAGGAGGAAACTGAAGCAAACAGAGCCAAGGGGAGGAGGCTTGCAGAGAAAGCTGTTGATTTCCATTATTGACTGTCATTATAGTGCATATACATTGGCCTAAGCCATTAAAGACTAGCAATCCTTTGCATATAGAATTTAGGGCAAGTAACACTAAGGATACATCCCATTATGCCAGCATTCTGAAGATGGGATTGGCACAACAGTCAAACTCATTTATTAGTGCACTTACGCCGTTATAATATACCTTTTTGTTCTGATACTATCAGTAGTTTTTCCAAAGCCATGAGGCCCTGTCTCGGTACTGTTGCCTTACACCGTAGAAACCACCCTCAGATTACGTGACACATGAGAAAGAAGTCAAAATGAATGTATACCTTTGGAGAATCCAGCATCTGTTTTATTCACATTCAGAGGTGGTTGTTTTCTGGGAGCACAAAAAGCAAAACCTGACCTTGAAATTCCCAAAGAGCCATTTGAGCTAACTTTGAGCTTGTTTATATGTGATTATTTCTGACTCACATAAAAACATATAAACTCATTCATCCAAGCAGAAGGCTATCCTCAAAAGGGAATATTTGTATCTGAACCTCAAGTAATGTCATCAAAGGTCATCAAGAAATTAATATTCTAACCATCTTTTACTGAAATATTTTCATTTGAATCAAACCACATTATCTGGATCAATATATTATTAAATTTATAGGAATAAATCACATAGGAATTTTAAACTACATATGCTGAAGATGTGACATGTGAAGATGTGTTTGTGGACTTTGTGTACTTCTCTCTGGTAGTAGGTCAAACTTCCACTTTTTATCATTTTATCCAGGCAGCATGGGCTCAATTAGTCTTTACTTCCTGGTACCATGAAAGTAAAAAAAAAAAAGAAAAAAAAAATCAAATAGTATGCGTCATATTTGGAATAACAGCGGGAAACCATATCTAATATTACTTTTTAAAAAACTTTATTTGAAATAGAGGATCAAATCTATATATGAAATTAATTTTATTATGTTATGTTGGAAATACAAGTAGTGACTTTTTTTTCATTGTACTTCTTAACTCAATAGAAACACAAAAGACTGGGGAGAGAAATGAAAGAGGAAGTGTATAAACAAATGAAAAATACTGATGTTACCCAAAATATCCATTTATACATTTATTTAACATATATTTGAGTAGCACTTTGTCTGTTAAAGTAAATGTATTTGATTGACAGTATAATTATTGGAAACATTAAAAAGAATTTACATGGCAAATTTTTCTTTTGGTGAAAATGTCAAATACAATATAGAAATAAAATTTTTAAAAGTGTATAGGGATAAAATAATTATAATTTTTAGTCAAAATATTAAGTATAAATCCAAATTGTGATACTCCAAATGGAAGCTCCAGAGAGAAAAAATAGATTATAATTAAAATCAGAGTTAGCTACAAACTATTTTTGTATTTTAAAATAATTAAAGTTATAAAATTCACATAATTTATTATTTCACTAGTTTGTTAACAAAATTATGACTCATATAATCATCTGTATTCAAATCTCTAGAAAATATTCCCTATGCTTTTAGGTAAAAAAATATTTTCAAAGTGAATTAAAATTGTATAGCTTTAATAATCAATCCCAAAAGGCAGTAATGTTACCTGAAAAACAACAAAAATAAAACACAACTACAAATTTGTGGAAACACTATGAGCATGAATTGCTGTGCCTAGATATGTTATCAGCTAGATGTGAAGGTCACAAACTGTCAAATTAATTAAAACATAATATTTATATATTGTTTTATAATAGAGTACTTAAACTAAAATCTGAGTTTGTGGAGTATTACTGGAGTGTTCAGGAAGGAGTCATTTTGATCTGCAAAACAAAAGAGAGGTCAGGGGGAAGAGTTTATGAAAAGTGCCAGTGTGAAGTACCAGATCTCCTGTGACCAAGGTCCTAAACTAAAAAATGTTAAAGGTAATCATCTATTAAATAGTGAAATATAATAGTGTGATATTATTTAAAACAAAAAAAAATACCTTCAAGTGTTCTTTTTTCAAAATTTTATTATTATATTAATTATATGGAATTTTATATCTCAGCATTAAAAATAGATGAAATAGGCCAATATCTACGTTTCCAATTAAAGTGACCTCATTATGTCTACAGAAGGCTATAGCATTCTCATCATTTATTGTTATGCCAAGTTTTTGAAACTTCAATTTTGCCTATTGTTAAATGTCACTTAAAAAGTAAATACAGCTGTTATGATTCATTTTATGAGTCACCTTGGCTAAGAGATGTCCAGATAGCTGCCAAAACATTGTTTCTGTGGTGGTGTCTATGAGGGTGTTTCTGGAGGAAGTTAGCTGGGTACACTGAATAAAGTAGATCTTTATAACTTTTTAACTCACTGATGTTGGGAGCATTATCCAATCAACTGATGGCCTGAACAGAACAAAAAATCAAGGACTTAGATACTTCCTCTCTCTGCTTGAGCTGGGACATTCACCTTCCCCAGCCCATAAATATCAATGTTCTTGGTTCTCAGGTGTGCAAATTTGAATTTATTATTTGTTCCCCTGATTCTCAGGCTTTTGATCTTGGACTGGAACTATATCACAGGGTCTCTTGGGCTTCTGGATAAAGATGGCAGATCATGGAACTTCTCAGCCTCCATAATCTCATGAACCATTCCTTCATAATAAATCTCCTTCTCTATTTCTCTGCATATCCTATTGGTTCTATTTCTCTGGATAACCTTGACTAATAGAACAGCTTTGGAATATTGGAATCATTTTGAATAGACCTAACAAGCAATGTTACATTGCATTAAAATTTATCGTGTTCATTTAATAATTATTGTAATAAGATACTTTGCACTATTTCATAAATGTATTACATTATTCTGAATATCTTATTACAATGAACACAAAGGGAATTCAGTTTCCTTTGTTGTACTAGAATCTGTTACACCAAAAACTGTTTAAGTAAATGGGGCTTCCATTTAGAGTTAAAAAAAAAAACAAAAGCAAAACAACAAAAAAAACTCCTTTCATAATAGAAAAACCTAGCTAGTAAAATAATTTGCAGTAATGAGATCTGTCTTAAATTTTGGTTTGTTCATTTATTTAATTTTATTTAATGATTTACTCACATAAGTAAATAAAAATGATTTTTTGTTGAATATATGTAAATCCCAAGTTTAATTATTAGTAAGAAGGGCATAAGTAATTAGATGCAAATGATGGGAAGAAAATTTTCTGGGGTCATAAGTTCCTGGAGTTTGAACCAGTTGTTTGTTATTGATATACATTAACAGGTGGCTATATAGGGGAGGCAAGTTCACACAGTTTGTCATTAATGAGAATACTCATGCTAAGCCCTGCATGCAATGCCTAGGCCTCATAAGCAGAAGTGAGAAGGTGAGGCTGAGAATTCTTTTGACATTCTTGGGCCTATTTTTACTGGACATAATCATAATTTTGTATATTTATAACCCTAAAGTAAGAACAGGAAAAAAAATAAATACTAAACACTGATTTTACCCTGGGAATAAAGGGGACCATCACTTATTGCTATGCCTAAAGTTTTTGAAACTTCAAAGCTTTTGCACCTGATTTTTTCTAATGTGTCATTGAGTCTCAGTTTGTTAGAAAAGGGTGGATTTTTTAAAAGTTAAAAAGAAGACAATGTGAGTGGCTGAAACTCATTTTGGCATCCTTTTCATGACAATGAGACTACCTTGCACCAATACAAATAAAACCAGAAGTAAAAATGTAAAATAAACACATAGGTGAAGTTTTAAAAGAAACCTAATATAATTCCTCTATGTAATAGTAAGGAAGCGAACATAGTAAAATAGACCAAGAACTAAGAATCCAAACTTTATTGTCTCAAAATATTTTAACTCAGGTGAAAGGCAACAAGGATATGTGACTAAAAACATAAACTCTGGAACTGAATTTGATTTCTGAGTTTAATGTCTGGCTTTGCCACTGTACCTGCTGTGCTGCTGTGATGGTTATTTGATATCCCTTGTCCTTTTCCTCATCTCTAAAATTATTATCCACTTCATAGCCTTAATGTGAAAATTAAATGAATTAATGTTTGCAAAGCACTTTGAATAGTGCCTAGACATAGTAAATTTTATCTAAATGCTTGATAAACAAATGTTACTGTATGCATGTTGATATATGCATTTGTTTAATGTGTAGTTTGTCACATATATATATCAAAATACATTAATAATTTCTCATTTTGCCATATAAGTGGTTGTTGAATTATGAATTAATAGATAAACTCTATAATAATCTCTAATCAAAATCTGACTGAAATAGCTTACTGCTATGTGATAGATATTGAGCCTTGTTTTTCTGAGTGAAACTAAAAAGAAAAAAACATAGAAAAGAGTATATAGTCCTTCAAGGAATAATAAAAATAAACCTATTTTAACTATTGAGCACTTTGAATAAATATTCAAAGTCAAGCTTTACTCAATAAGAAATTATTTTTAAACTTAAAAAAGATTTAAATACATGTTTACACAAATATCAAGAAAAAAGAACTAAACATAGGCAAACATTGTTTAGAATAACAATACCATATGATAGCTCTCCAGGAAAATGTATAAAAGTCTCTCATTTTAATTCAGACACAGTAATAATAAAGAAATATTAATAGCATAAGTAGAAACAAATATCATTAATATGATTCTTCCAAGGTGATATTTATTTAGAATAAAAGTTCTAAAAACTATATTCAAATGAAAGTAGATTCCGCAGTACAACTATTGATAAATAAAAATGCAACAATAAAAATAATCAAAACTTTTTGGAAAATTGAGTTTCAATGACAGCATAGGTCTACCTCTTTAATTATCTGAAATAATTTTATATTCACAGAAAAATTTATATACTGTAACTTATTAAGTGCTGTATAGAAACATGATTTATAAGTGAAATACTTACATTAGTAGAAACGGAGCTCTGGGTCTATGCATTTTATTCTATCAAATTCTCAAAAATGATCAAAATTTAACATCAATACAAATCATTATAAAATTTCACTTACAAAACAAAAACTTCAAATATATTATTAGTGTGAAATGCCAGTATGTATGGGTAGATTGATGTGCTTATGGAACCATGATTAACTACACATGAGTAAGAATACCAATACAGAAAGAATTTAAAGATATTTAAGCCAATCCACTCTAAATTATACAGGCAGAGATAGAAGATAATGCAGGTATAAGGAGAACAATGATGTGTGTAATCCTACAGTTTCACCTAAATGTCCAAAGCATGAAAAATCTTGTGCTATTTTCTTATCAGTACATACGGTTTTATCTCATTAACTGCAGTGGGTTCAAAGTATAACTTGGTAGGTTTATGTTATAATTTAACTATTTCCCTATTTAGAAACATGTATTTTCAATAGATTGCATCTTTTGAGGAGATCAAAACAAAGAATAACCTTCATACTTTACTCTATGTAAGTGGTAATGGATTTGTTCATGAGAAATGATTGTAGACCCTACTCTTTGCACTTATAAACTATCTTGGCATTTAAGAGTTGGTGGTTTCTGGCTAAGCTTCCTAGGCTCTCTGTGCCTCAGTATTTTCGATCATAAAATGAAAATAATAATGATAATATCTAACTCAGAGTATTTATAAGAAATGAATCAATGACTATATGTAAGATGCATAGAAATAAGTGCTGCATAATGAAGCCAGGTATTGTGGTACATCTGGGGCATAATTAGAATTTGTTTATTGCCTCCCAAGCCTTCGTTTTCCCTTTCCAACTCAGCTGTATTATCTCAGTGGGATTGTCTTACTCCAAATATAAAGGTGAAACTTGATTGGCTTTAAAAAACTGAAGTGGGAGTTCTTAGCTGCAGTGAGTGGTGATCGAACCCCTGCACTCCAGCCTAAGTGACACAGCAAGATCCTGTCATTACAAAAACCCCTCAATCCCATGACCCCAGCATTTTGTCATTGTGTCAGTTTTTTTCTTTTTTTGGTCCAGTTGAGGTCAATGAGATGTAATATGTGATTCTTAGTGGCTTCAGAGAATGATGCTTACCACCTCTCTGTGTCTCTAGCTAGATGTAAACTAAAAAGCCTACGGAACAATTTGTGAACAGCAGCTTTCTGGGAACACTAAAGGATAATGATACCCTTACTATACATGTCAGGAGAGAGAGATGGAAAGTAAAACCTTCATTTGTTAATATTGGTAAGATACATTAATCTTTTCAGTGACATGAATAAAAATATATTTTTCAAGACAATGGTAATGATTTTCTGTTAATTGCAAATAAAGAATTGAAACTTGTATACATTGTGAGCCAAAGCAAATGCAGACCTTGTTCTTATGTTTCAGAATCTACTGAATGGTACGTAAATAATAATGCAATTATAAATAAGTAGTAGTTATTTATTGAGCACTTACTCTATGATAGACCTTGTTATATAGTCACTTTACATAAATTACTGACAATTGTATGTCATAGATTTTATTAATATATACTAATTTTGCAAATGAGGAAACAGACAATGAAAGTGATTTGCCCATGTTCATACAGCTGGAGGAAGAGCTAGAATCTGAACCCATCCAATTCAATTTCAGACCCGTTGTCCTTAAACTCTAACTTACAATTATTCTCCAAGAAGCATAAATTGGTACCTGCAGTAAAAGCTGAAAATGAGAGTTATATAATCTATGAGGGTTTATTTTAGGGTCATATTTCATAAGAAGATCAAATTTTTCTTTTTACTTTTCTTTTTTTTTTTTTGAGACAGATTTTCGCTCTTGTTGCCCAGGCTGGAGTGCAATGGTGCGATCTCAGCTCACTGCAACCTCCGCCCCCCTGGTTCAAGCGATTCTCCTGCCTCAGCCTCCCGAGTAGCTGGGATTAAATTTTTCTTTCTTTTGTTTTCCCCCAGGCTTGGATACTTTTTTATTTTTTAATTTGAAAAACTATTTAAGGTGCTCCATCTACCTTTTAAAAATCAAATTATGCGTGATTTTAAAAAAACACATTTGTTTATTGTGGCAAAACACATTACATGAGATATATCCACTTAAAATTTTAGGTGCACAGTATACTGTTGTTAACTATAAGCGCAGTGTTGTATAGCAGATCTCTAGAATTTCTTACCTTGCATGACTGAAACTGTATCCATTACATAGCAAGTTTCCATTTTCCTCTCCCTCCAGTCCCTTGACATCACCATTCTACTTTGTTTCTGTCAGTCATGTACATAAAATGGAATATATTTAACCATAAAAAAAGAAAATTCTGTCATATGCAGCAACATGGATGAATTTTGAGGACATTATGCTTAGTAAAATAGGCCAGTCAGAGAAGTAGTACTACATGATTCCACTTATATGAAGTATCAAAAGTAGCCATACTCACAGAAATAGGGCTTTCTTTTTTAATGAAAGATAAGTGGAAGATAATCTAGAAGAAAAGTTGTATAATAGGTTTACTGATGAAGCACAACCCTGTGATAGAAAAAGCATAAAGGGCTTGGGAAAAAAAGCATAAAACGTATGGATAAAGGACTAAAAGAAGATTGGTTTGACTGTAACATAGATATCAGGGATCAACCTGGCACAAAGTGAGGCAGGAGAGACATGTAGGGAATAAGTCACAAAGAGAAATCTATGACTTATTAAGAAATTATGTGTTTAGTTTTAGGAGATTTAGAAGATTTTTTTTCTTAAATATTTTCTAAATCTTTATCACTTAGCTTATGTTTCCTTTACTTTATTTTCCAATTATTCAATCAGTATTACTTGGGGCGGGGGACAAATATAATGAATACATATGAATTGATTGTACCATTTATTGATATATTTTGGTAGGAAACTACAATATATTCTAAATTCCAATTGAGAATACTGATTTTTAAAGTGTTAAATATCTTTTGTTTCTCAAATTATTTCTTTTTTTTTCCACAAAATTATTTAGTTGTTAGCATTATACTTCTTGGTCATTTTAATCATTATCACTATTTTTCTTAACTACCTGATTAACAGTGAATATATATTCAATAAAAAATGACTGCTATGATGATTTAATTCCTTGATTGAGTAGGGTCTTTCAGTCTTTATTTGCTGTAACTCTCTTTTTCTGAGTGGTAGACTTGAGTGAAGCTCTGAATAAATACATGGCATGTAGATGAGATAAGTTTCACTTTTGACTATTTGGGAACAGAACTGTTATCTGCCCTACCAGTCCTCTCTTCCCCTCAATCCACATGACAAAATAGTGAGGTCATTAGAGGTTTCTGTTTATTATTTAAGGGTTAAGAGTAGAAGTCAGGTTGGAGGACGTATACATTTCTTAACACAAATTTTTGAAATAATTTTTTTTCTGATAATTGCCTCAGATTCAGAAGAGCAATGAAGTTACAGTGTTGTATGGCCGTTAGATGTCTTACAATTCATGAAGATTTAGAGATTAAAGTAGCAGGAGACACTCTAAAGTAGAAAACCAGATATTTGAGGACAGACATAATATAGCAAAGGAATACATGGCCCAGAAGAAAAAGACAATGACATAATTGAAAGCTGAATTAAGAGCAAAATGGATAGTTATAAAGAGTGGTGAATTATAATATCTAGCTGTAAAATAAAGAATACTAAAAAAGTATTTTGAAAAAAAATACAATGAATTCAGTTTCTTTTGTGTTGTAATTAGAGATGTCATATGGCCCCCAAATGTCCAAATCAAGAATAGATAACTGTTGAACTTATGAGAAATGGAGGTGGGTTTGAAATGGTGATTGTACTTATTAGCTTATAGAAGGTTGAGTTATGGAGTGGGTCACCCCAACAGAAGGAGTGGATGCAGACAGAAGAGAAATGAGATAGCCCCCCCCCAAAAAAAAACAACTGGGGAAATTAACATTTAATATTTTAATGGTGCATGCAGCATTCATAAGAAAGACTGAGAAGAGAGGGCCAGGCCAGAGAAGTAGAAGAATATGGTGTCAAGGAAGCCAATGGAAAAGAGGGAGGGAAACACTACAAAACAATGATAATTACTGTTGAATTGTGACATGTATATGCCCACATGATTTAGTAACCAAAGTGTTCTTAGTGTCCTTGGCAATGGAATTCCAGTACATTGATATGATTCAAGTAATAATTCAAAAAATAAATGATGGGAATGGCAAGAGGTACAGAATTTGCTAAGTTGCAGTTTGCTAGCATGAAAGCAAGAGTGACACCAACAATCCAAAGAGCACAAGAGAACTCAAGCGATACTTCATTTTACTGTTTTTCATTTCAGAAGACAAATAAGTACATATAAAATTGCTTAACAACATGCTGGAATATAGTTAAAAAAAACAGGAGCAAGAGATTTAGTCTAAATAATAAGTAGACAGATCCAGTTTACAAAGGAGTTGATCCCTTTCAGTGGGTGTGTGGAAAATATAATAGAGAGGAAAGGAAATCTGGAAGTTCCACCAGGTGTTTTCTAAGTCATTGGGAAAAATATCATTAGATTTTACCTTATGACTGAGTATATTAAGGGTTATGTAATATACATTTTATTTATCATTTCTATTAAAATGTATATTATCTTAATATAAATTTTATTTGTATTAATATAAGTTGTATTTGTATTATAATTATTATAATTACATGTTTGATATAACACTTCTCTATTTAAAAACACATTTGAATAAACAATGCACTTCATCTCCTGACCTGACTATGTAACAGAATTTGCTTTGCTTGATACAACAAACCAGGCTTTTTTCTCTTTTCTTCTTTTTTTGTTCCTGGCAAATCAAAGTATTGAACTGCAGCAGTTGGCTTATAGAAGCTCAGGTCAGAGGAAAGTGGATTGCTCTGGATTGCTGATGTTTCAAAAGTTTTATTCAGTCTTTGAGAGATAAGGAAATGATCTCAAATAAAACTTTTCACAGCCCTATTGTACTTTCTTTATCTTCTAAGTGGAACCCCTTGTCAGCCTTTCATCCTACCCCACTAAAGTTTCCAGTAATTCAGCTGTCCCAGAATGATACATTTTACAGCATTTCTGTAATTGCAAACCAGCTGGTAGAACTTCGAGAGACCAACAAAAATATTTTAAACGGTTACTTTAAAAACTATTAGTTGCTAAATTACACTTGTTTCCCTCATCACTTGAAGTATCCTGCACGTAAAATATGCCCAGGATTACCTAATTAAAAGAGAGAAAAAATTTTTCTTTGCAATTTACGTTTAAGCAAAAGCATATTTTTATAACCCTGCAGCTGTATTTTTCTCTAGTGCCTTTTCCTAACAAAATGTATGCCATATTCAATAATCCTTTCACCTATAGGTCTATTGGGCACTGCTAATAATAACTAGACCTTTCCTATTTGTAAAGAAATCAGCTCAGTGAAAATGGGGTCAGAAAAATCTCTTTTTCAATGTATGCACAACTTCCTATAGAAAAGAAAAGAAGGCATGTTTGGATATCTCCCCAATAAAAAGAAACAAAATTCCTAAATACCTTAATTCTATTTGATTATTTTTATGGAAATATATTACATAATTTCTTATTTTATTATTAAATTACAAAATATGTGCCGAAGAGTATTATTCAGGAGTAAAGCCTTGTTTATACGAATACATATTACACAAATAGAATTACGGTAGTTTTGTAATCAATCATCCTGTAAAGGATCTGTTATTTTTTTGCTTATACTTAAGTCATACTTTTACTTCCTCACTTGAAGGTTTAACTACAGGTTGATGTCAGTGAAAGATACATTATTACATTGACCTGAGAGAGTGTGAGGGCCAATTTGATAAAATTTGTCTCTCTGGTGATATGACTCTGTATGTTTTTCTGAAGCTATTTTGAGTTTTTAAACCTATCTTTAAAAACCGTAAAGATTTCATAATGTAAATGCACTGCTTTTGGGGGAATTTCAAAGAATGATAGATGATTAAATCAAAACTGAAAGAACTGATTAAGTCGAGTTCAATCATTCAAAGAAGAGAAAGCAGTGACTTTTCCACTCCTCTTCTTGAATTGTACCCAGGGATTTGTTGATCTTTTGAGTAGCAAGAACTCAATAAACTATGTTTTAAAACCTCTATGAAAGCTTTAAGGACTATGAATAACAGATTTTAAGATATTTACAAGATTATTCCCTAGATTTCTACAATAAATAAAGCCTGCATTCTAAAAAGATCTGTAATCCAGATTTCCTATGATTATTTGTTTATAATGTTTTTAGATTCAACACAATCAACTAATTGCTATATTGATTTAAAAGGCAATAAGTTATCTTTAAAAAGTTTTTTAAAATTTTTCTTTCTACTGTGCATGGTATTTAATCATAATCACAGCAACGGATCATTCTGTAAACACCATAAGATAATGACGTACGCAGTATAAGAATTACGTAGCATTTCCAAAAGTATGTTAATCTTTTATCTATTATAATGAATTTGATTTTATTTAACGGCTTTCTTTGACAATATGCAAGTGCCTGTCTGAAGCATTAATCTTCCAGTACTTACATATTTTATATATAAACATATTTTATATAAATATAATTTTTAATAATATTCTTGAAAATTCAAGTAACTCTTGAAATGATCAGTTGCTAATTAGAATGTACAAATTTATGACAAATTTGATCAATGTGAATAAAAACTCTTGCTCCTCAAACTTATCATTTTTCTTTTTTTAAACTTACTTTTTCTTAAAAGTAGAATTTTTTCTTGCATTTTTAAGATAACTTCTCATTTTGTCCTTGAATATTCTTTAAGTTTATTGAAACTTTAGCTTTGATGATAAATTTTGCTATAGATGGTAATATGGTTTGGGGGTGTCCCCACCCAAATCTCATCTTGAATTGAAACTCCCACAATTCCCATGTGTCATGGGAGGAACCTGGTTAGAGGTGATTGAATTATGGGGGCAGGTCTTTCCTGCACTATTCTTATGGTATTGAATGAGTCTCACGAGATCTCATAGTTTTAAAAATGGGAGTTTCCGTGCACAATCTCTCTTTGCTGCTGCCATCCACGTAAGATGTGACTTGCTCCTCCTTGCCTTCTGCAATGAATGTGAGGCCTCCCCAGCCATGTGGAGCTGTAAGTCCAAAAAACTCTTTCTTTTGTTAATTGCCCAGTCTCAGGTATGTCTTTATCAGCAGCATGAAAACAGACTAATACAGCATATTTGTACCAGTAGAGTGGCGCTGAAAAATACCTAAAAATGTGGAAGTGAATTTGGAATTGGGTAACAGGCAGAGACTGGAAGAGCTTGGAAGGCTCAGAAGAGACAGGAAAATGTGGGAAAGTTTGTAACTCCCTAGAGACTTGTTGAATGGCTTTGGCCAAAATGCTGATAATGATATGGACAATGACATCCAGGCGGAGGTGGTCTCAGATGGAGATGAGGAACTTGTTTGGAACTGGAGCAAAGGTGACTCTTGTTAAGCTTTAGCAAAAAGATTGGTGGCACTTTGCCCCTGCCCTAGAAGTATATAGAACGTTGAAATTGAGAGAGATGATTTAGAGTATCTGGTGGAAGAAATTTCTAAGCAGCAAAGCATTCAAGAGTTGACTTTGGTGCTGTTAAAGGCATTCACTTTTATAAGGGAAGCAGAGCATAAAAGTTTGGAAAATTTGCAGCCTGACAATGCAATAGGAAATAAAAACCCATTTTCTGAAGACAAATTTAAACCTGCTGCAGAAATTTGCATAAGTAATGAGGAGCTGAATGTTATTCACCAAGACATTGGGAAAAATATCTGCAGTGCATGTCAGGGGTCTTCTTGGCAGCCCCTCCCATCACAGGCACAGAGGTTTAGGAGGAAAAATGGTTTTGTGGGCTGGGCCCAGGATCCTTCTGCTGTGTGCAGTCTAGGGACTTGGTGCCCTGCATCCCAGCCACTCTAGCTGTGACTAAAAGAGGCCAAGGTATGGCTTGGGCTGTTGTTTCAGAGAGTGGGTGCTCCAAGCCTTGGCGGCTGCCTTATGTCATTGAGCCTGCGGGTGCACAGAAGTCAAGAGTTGAGGTTTAGGAACCTCTGTATAGATTACAGAAGATGTATGGAAATGCCTGGATGCCCAGGCAAAAGTTTGCCACAGGGGTGGGACCCTCATGGAGAGCCTCTGCTAGGACAGTGCAGATGGCAAATGTGGGGTCAGAGCCTCCACACAGAGTCCCTACGGGGGCACTGCCTAGTGAAGTTGTGAGAAGAGGGCCACCATCCTCCAGACCCCAGAATAGTAGATTCACTGACAGCTTGCACCATTCACCTGGAAAAGCCTCAGACACTCAACACCAGCCCATGAAAGCAGCCAGGACGGGGATGTACTCTGCAAAGTCACAGGGGCAGAGCTGCCCAAGACCATGGGAACCCACCACTTGCATCAGCAGGGCCTAGATGCGAGACATGGAGTCAAAGGAAATCATTTTGGAGCTTTAAGATTTGACTGCCCTGCTGGATTTCGGACTCACATGGGGCCTGCAGCCCCTTTGTTTTGGCCAATTTATCCCATTTGGAATGGCTGTATTTACCCAATGTCTGTATCCTCATTGTATCTAGGAAGTAACTAACCTGCTTTTGATTTTGCAGGCTCATAGGCAGAAAGGACTTGCCTTGTCTCAGATGCGATGCTGGGCTATGGATTTTGAGTTAATGCTGAAATGAGTTAAGACTTTGGGGGAATGTTGGGACCATGATTGGTTTTTAAATGTGAGAACATGAGATTTTGGGGGGTGGTTAGGGGCGAAATGATATGGTTTGGCTGTGTCCCCAACCAAATCTCATCTTGAATTGTAACTCCCACAATTCCCATGTGTCCTGGGAGGAAACTGGTGGGAGGTGAATGAATTATGGGGATGGGTATTTCCTGTGCTATTCTCAGGACAGTGAACCAATCTCATGAGATCTGATGGTTTTAAAAATGGGAGTTTCTGTGCACAATCTCTTTGCCTGCCACCTTCCATGTAAAGATGTAACTTGCTCCTCCTTGCCTTCTGCTATGATTGTGAGGCCTTCACAGCCATGTGGAACTGTAAGTCCAATAAACCTCTTTTTTTTGTTTTTGTTTTTTGTAAATTGCCCTGTGTTGGGTATGTCTTTATCAGCAGTGTGAAAACAGACTAATACACATGGGATTGGCCAAGCTAGTATGTGTTTCAATGGAAATTAAAAAAATTGTTTTTAACATGTGTATTATTTTCCTGTGTAGATTACCATCCTTCATAATCTTCTTGAATAAACATTGATGAATAGTAGTCCAAAGTATAAATATAGCTATAAGAATTTAAGTAGCAACAGATATCAATTAAGAATAATGCAGAGAACTAGATCACTGCAGTGCCTCCAGCATAGTGAAAAACATGTGATTATTTTCCAGTGTGATGGTGAATATAAAGGTAAATATGTTACAATTTTTATCATTGACCTGAGGAAATTAAACTTACAAATGAGAATTAAGATTATTAATTGAGCTTTACAAACTACATAGGTAACCAGGGATTTCCAATGCCATTTGAAGAACGAGAATTACAAATGTGCCTTCTACCCTATATAGCATCTTCTGAACATAAATTAAGAAAAACTTAGAGCATCCATTGAGTTCCTATTCTTTTTTTTACTTTGTTTATTGTTTTATTCCTTTACTTTTCCTTTCTTTTCTTATAATTTTAGAGACTATCATGAAAAGAAAATGGGTTATGGTTCTACACAACAACACCTTATACTGCATTGTAAAAGTGATTAATCTGTGGTTTTCCCAGAGCAGGGAAAGTATGGATTCGTGAAAATATATTAATGTTCTGTTTGGGATTGGTAGTCTTACTTCTCTAGCATATTTCAAAGAGATCTTGGGAACATGATTTGGAAGATATGTAATTAAATTGCTAAATAGCTTTGGAATTTTCAACAAAAAGCATACTATGAATTCTACAGTAGGCAAAGCTTAGGATATATATTTTTAATTTGGGGTGTGTGTGTGTGTGTGTGTGTGTGTGTGTGTGTGTGTGTGAAACAATGCATTTTACCACCAAACAGGATTGGAGAATGGATTGGAGAGCTATTTTGGAATGTAAAACATCGTACTAGGAAGACAACCAAGATGCTAAATAGTCAGTTCATTAGAAAGCCTCCTGGTTACTGGATAGTTATAATGATGTGACCAAGAGTTTACTCTTTGAAGCTACTGCTATAAGATGATACACCCTTCAGGTATCATTGACGTGCTTTTTACTTATCTATCAGAGTTCCTCACAAAAATTTGTTTTTGGATCAGGTGGAACTGAGTAAATATCCATGAAGTTTCAGGATAGAGCCATTTGCCTTCCTTTAAATCTTTGAAATATATGTTGTTCAGCATTTTTACTCACATAGACCTTTCTTCATACCTCAGGTATTGCAGTCACCACCTACTACTATGTTGGTCTCCTCTTCTTTTCCTCCTCCTCTTCCTTGTCATTCTACTTTTGCTTCTTCTTGCCTCTTTCCTCTTCCTTCTCAACTTCCTCCCCCTACTCCTGCTTTGCCCCCTCTCCCTGTCAGCAGTAAGCCAAGTAAGGATAAGAGACTGAGCAGAAATATAAATTAGTGCATGGTGCAGGCTAAGTTGGAAATAAGACCAGGGCAGAATATATTAAGAAATAAATTAGGCCACATTAATGCATTTTGCCTGTACATTAGAAGCAATTGGGAACCTTTGATAGCTATGAGCTGAGATAGTGAAGTACTCTCACCTATATTCCGAGATCCTTCAGCCACAATAAAGACAATGGTTACCAAACAGAGAGATAGAACAGATTAGTGTAGATTAGATGGAAGCCTATTTTAGGGGTTCAGGAGACTTATGGTAGTGTGTTCAAAGGTATAATTATAGATTATATAAGGAAAGAAAACTAAAAGGGTGAAAAATATTTAAGATGAAAAATCATCACCATTTTTGTCTGAGAAACTGAAAAGTGGTCAAAGGAAGTGCATTTGAGAATATTGTTGTTTAGTTCCTTTGGACTCAAGCCTATTAGGAAAGGGAATTTTGTATTATTGCTGGAGCATATATAATGGAAGGAGGTCCAGCATTCAAAATATAGGTATCTCTATATTGTTAACATTATGTTTCATAGTTTTATGTAACTTGAAGTTCTTATTAAAAAACGTGAGCTCTCACAAAATAGCATTGCTGAAACATTATTTAGCAGGTAAATTTTACATCACCAGCAATTAATTTGATAAGGGTTTAAATTTTTTAAAATGTTTCATAGATAAATACTTGAGTTGTGACTTTACCAGAAGAGTGAAAAATAAAATTTAAGTACATTATAGGTTAATTTTAGGGTATATTAAGATACTGTTGAAACATCTAAAATGCACATGTATTCCCTTTAATCATGCTTTCATGTGAAAAATTTTCAAAAGCCTATTACTTCAGGGGTCCATTTAACTCTTCATTCACTCCTCTCCAGGAGAGAAAGTATGAGTTTAACTGATTTATGAGTTTGAGAAAAAAAAATGTATGGATGGCTCTAAACATTATATATTCTCCTTTTTCATATATCTGCCCCCAGAAAAGAGGATTTTGATTTCCTCTTGCCACGTGCTGTCAGGAATTGGCCCTACTGTGGTAATAATCTGTGTTTCTTCTTAGGTAGAGATGTTTGAGTGTACGAACCTATTTTGTACAACAACAAAAAGGAGCAACTCCACTTTACTTACCATTTCTTCCAAACCAGATTTTGTATAACTTTTAATCGGAAAAAATTGTAAACATTCAGAAAAGTTAAAAAAGGTATATGAAGAATGCTTATATATATACTATCTAAATTCAACAAATGCAAGGGTAGTTTAACATTAAAGATTCAATCAATTTAGTTGATCATGTTAGTCAAATTTCAAAGAAAAATTATTTATAAAATTTAACCTCTATTTCTGGTAAAATAGCAAACAAAGAAACTCAGGAAATTAAGAACAGAAAAAAAAGTCTCATTTTGATGAAAGATATCCTAACATATCTTGAACATATATTTAAAGTAGAAATATTGAATATTTTTTCATTTAATTAAGGATAACACTAATATATTATTACAACTCTTACTTAACAAGAAGAAAGCATTATAGATATAAAATTTAAAAGGAATAAACAACAGAATGAACTGTCATTACTGGCTGATGTCATAATTATATAACAATGTATTTCCAAAGAATTATAAAATATTTTCAATTAAAATGAATAAGTGAGTTTAGGAAGGCTGCTGGATATTTAGTCAATACCATAACTATCAGTTTTATTTATCTAAGCAATCATTCTATAACATGGATTTTATTTTGAAATCTAATGCCATTTACAATATAATAAAAATCAAAAGTGTAGGAAAAAATCCGAGTGAAGAATGTGAAAAACCACTACACTAAAAATTACTAAATATTGCTGGAAAAATGAAAAGATCAATTAAAAAATAAAGAGCAATACATGTTTATACTTTGAAATATTCAGTATTGTTAAAATATCAATTTTCTTAAAATTAATCTATATATTCAATGCAATAAGTCTTCTTAGGTAATTGGTATCTATAGGTGTAAATTCACTAGCTTATTCAAAATGTATATGGAATGTCAAACTATTTAGAATGCCCATACTATCTTAAAGTAAAAACTTGGAGGACTAACACTGTGATAGTACAAGGCTTTCTATTAAAAAAATTTAAAAAAATGATTTGCGTAATATAATACCAGTTAAAAACGCAAAATTAGGGAAATGGAAAAGAATGGGAAGTAAAAGCCTAGGCCCACACATTATGGTCACTTAACATTTAACAAAGTTATAACTGCTAATCACTCAAAAAATGGATGATTATTTCAATAAATGAGGATTGAGCATAACTGTATGAAAAAATAAAATAATTTAACATATACTTCACATCATAGAAGTTATATAATTTGAGATGAATGATAGCCCTAAATTATGAATATAAATAAGCCTCTGAAAAAATATGAGATAACATCTTTATAACTTTGGGTAAGAAAATACTTCTTAAGTGGATAATTAAATAATTATAAAAGAATAAATATTTTGAACTCATTAAAATTAAGAGCATTTTTACAGCACAGGACAACATTAAGAAAGTGAAAAGCCAAGCCACCAGTCTTAAAATATTTTTGCAAAATATATAGCTGACAAAGAACTTATTTTATATCCAATATATAAAAAATTTCCTATAGTGAGATAAGAAAAAGACAACAGTTCAATTTTTAAATGATTAAAAACCTTGAATAGGTACTCTATAGCAGAGCGTAAACCTATGTCCAACAAGCATGATAAAATTATTTCTCAAGGAAATGCAGATGAAAACAACAGCAGGATACTACTTCACACACATTCAAAGGCTATACTTAGAAAGTCTATCAAGGTAAGTATTTTACTGTAATCCCAGCCTTTTGGGAGGTGAGGCAGGAGGATCGCTTAAGACCAGGAGTTTGAAACCATTCCGGACAATAAGGCAAGACTTTGTTTCTACAAAAACTAAAAATAAAAAAATAAAACTTAGCTGTGTGTGGTTTCACTTGTCTGTAGTCTCAGCTCCTTGGCAGGCTAAGGCAGCAAGACCACTTGAGCCCAGGAGTTCAAGGCTACCATGAGCCATGGTCACAATACTACACTCTATTCTGGGTGACAGATTAAGGCCTTATCTCAAACAAAAACAAAAACAGAAAGTATTTGAAAGATGGGGAGAAACTGAACCTGTTCATCAATGCCAGTGGGAGTGTAAAGTGGCACAGATATTTTGGGAAGCTTTTTCAATAACTACTAAAGTAAAACACAGGCCTACCTATGATCTATCAATTATACTTGTAGTTACATACCCAACAGAAATGAGCGTATGTGGCAATAGAAAGATTTGCATAAGAACTTACATAAGAATTTTATTTGTAATTGCCCCAAACCTTTGTCACACAAATATCCATTAAGCAGACAATTAATAAACATTTTATTTATTTAATGAAATACTACACAGCAAAATAAAATCAAACTCCTGATAAATATAAAGTCTCACTTGATTTTGAGCAAAAGAAGACAACTTTATATACTCTATGACTCCATTTAGATAACACTTCAGAACAGTTAAAATTAATCAAAGATGTAAGATAAAATAGTGGTTATATTGGGAAGGACAGATTGTGACTCGGACAGGGCACACATTAACCTTTTCAAGCTTCTGTAAATATTCTGTAAATATGGATTTTTCTCATTACACTGTGGTTCCTAATGATTTGTCACTCAATTCACTTTCAGCAGTTTAATGTATATATGTTACCACATCAATAAGATAAAGGAAGAAAGGAAATATAAGAAAATGACTGAACATTTTGTGTCCAGAATAACAAAGTGTGACGTTACTTATGTGATCTTCATATGGTTTAGGCCATAATCATAATTAAAAATGGGGTATGTGGAATCATGACTTTTATTCTCTGTTTCAACTTCTGGTAAGTCACCCTCTCTCCTAATCCTTCTCTTCAAATAAAGGTAGAATTGTATTCGGCAGGAGAGACCCTTTGTAAACTCCAAAGAGCAAGAGATAATAGTGAAAAAATCCACTACATCTCAATAGTAAGCTGATGATGTGCATTTTGGCCTAGTATTTCAAGAAAGTCCACAGTAAGAATTAGTTCTAAATGAGAATTGATAGAACAATATCTGACATTTTACTTTATTTTCAGTATGTTCTGTAGGCCAAGATTGATTTTATATTTCAAATTGAATTAAGTTCCATGTGAACTAGGAAGACATAGTGTGAGAGTTTTTAATTTCAGTTATTGCTGCTAAGCATAACTTAGGTATCAATTTCAATAAGTGCATTGAAGGCAGGGAAGGATTTGAAAAATAACTTATCTAGAGGTATCTTCTTATATCAGCTCTCACTTAACTCTGAAGATGTTAATTGTATAAATTTCAGAAAGTATGAAAGTAATAAAAATGCTCGTGCCAAAAATGCTCAGCATCCAGAAGTAAAGGATGCTCAGGGCATCAAAGAAGATGTATAGACATTAGTCACTTGTCTGGGTGACACAGACCTAAGAGCTATGTCTAAATGATAACACAAAACAAAACAAAGAACAATAACAATATCCTTATTTTATTACTTCTTTGAGAACTTCCCTCATTTTTTAAGTAAGAATTTAATACTACAAATATCCGCCTCAATGCTGTGTTAGGTGCATCATGCATAGTTTTGATATGTTACATTTTATTTTCATTCAGTTCCATGAATGTTTAATTTCCTTTGGAACTTCATCTTTAATTATTGTATTATTTAGATGTATATTGTTTAAATGCTAAATGTTTTGTTTCATATGCTTAAGGCTCTGTTTGCTGCTTAGGATTTTGAACACATTTAGAATTATTATGTATTTCTGGTGGATTGATCCCCTTACCATTATGTAGTGCTTCTCTTTGCCTGTAGTAATTTTCTAGGCCCTGAATTCTACTCCAGCTAATATTTATAGAGCCACTTTTGATTTTAATTTGCAATTAATGTTCTCCTCATATATCATTTTTCATCTTTTTGTGTTCAACCTATGTATGCTGTTGAATTTGAAGTGATCTTCTAAGCAAAAAAAGTTGTGGGTTTTGTTTGTTTGTTTGCTTTTTAAACTCATTTTGACAATCTCTGCCCTTTAGTGGCTGTACTGAGACCATTCATGTTTAGCATAATTGTTGACATGTTAGAACATAAATCTGCCTTTTTATTATTTATTTTATTTGTCTTTTGCCATTTGTGTTTTCTTGCCTTTCTGTGGGCTCTATGAAGCCATAGGAACCCATAGAACATTTTTTTTAGAATTTATCTTGATATACTTTTAGTAGTTTAAGGTGAATTGGCTTGAATAGTATTTCTGGTGGTGCATCTAGATATTGCAGTATACACATGGGGCTCATTACAATCTCCTGGCATCAGTGTTTTACCACTTGGAATGAAACATTAACTCAATTTAGGTGCCTTTAATTTCCCAAGTTTTCTTTATTGTTACCTTATGTAACAGGTGCTATAATAATTTTTAATTATCACATATCATTTTTTAAACTCTTCAGGACAATTATAGTCTATTTGTATTTACTTATATTTTTGCATTTTTCTCTTGTTCTTTTTCCTCATGATGTTCCAAAATGTCTTCTTTTATTATTTACTTTCTACTCTTTAAATCCATCCTTTAAGAATATAACCATTCTGTTTTTAGCAAATTATGATGAATTATTTAAGTTTTATTATATCTCAGAGTACGGTGTGTCCTAAAGGGTCATTTAGAAGTACTTTATGTCCTAAAGTATAGTTTTGATAGCTATAGAAATTGTCATTGATTGTTCTTTACTTTCAGCACTTGAAAAATGTTGTGTATTACTTTCTGGTTTCCATTGATTCACATAAGAAATATGCTATCATTGGCTGGGCGCGGTGGCTCACACCTGTAATCCCAATACTTCGGGAGGCCGAGGCGGGCAGATCACGAGGTCGGGAGATCCAGACCATCCTGGCCAACATGGTGAAACCCTGTCTTTACTAAAAATACAAAAAAATTAGCTGGATGTGGCGGCATGTGCCTATAATCCCAGCTACTCTGGAGGCTGAGGCAGGAGAATTGCTTGAACCCAGGAGGCGGACACTGCAGTGAGCCAAGATCATGCCACTGCACTCCAGCATGGCGACAGAGCAAGACTCTGTCACACACACACACAAAAATAATAAATAAATAAATAAATAAATAAATAAATAAATAAATAAATAAATATGCTATCATTGAAATTAGAATTCTCTTGTAGTTAATGTGTCATTTCTCTCTAGCTGTGTAGGACATTTTTCTTGACCTTAATTTTTTTAAGTTTGTGTGATATGTAATGTTGTGAATTTCTTGAGCCTATCTTATTTTGAGGTTCTTTTAGCTTTTTTTGGATCAACAGGGTTATATTTTTGTCAGATTTGTGATGTTTTCAGCCATTCTTTGGAATATTCTTTCAGTTCCATTATCTTTTTTTCTCAACCTGGGACTTCAGTCATCTGAATGTTGAATTTTTTGTTATTGCCCCATAGGTCCCAGAGGGTCTCTTCATTTTGTTATTTAATTATTTCATTTTGTTATTTAATTACATTCTCTTTGTTGTTTAGGATTTTTTGTTTGTTTTTGTTTGTTTGTTTTTGAGATAGTCTCACTCTGTCACCAAGGCTAGAGTGTAGTGGCACAATCTCAGCTCACTACAACCTCCGCCTCCCAGGAGGCGATTCTTGTTTGTCAGCCTCCTGAGTAGCTGGGATTACAGGTGTATGCCACCACGCCCAGCTAATTTTAGTGATTTTAATAGAGAGGGGGTTTCACCATGTTGGCCAGGCTGGTCTCAAACTCCTGACCTCTAGTGTTCAGCATGCCTCAGCCTCCCAAAGTGCTGGGATTACAGACGTGAGCCACCATACCCAGACTGTTGTTTAGTACATATAATTTTATTGATCATTCCTCAAGTTAATTGGTTCCATCCTCTGTCTTAGACACTCAATTATTGAGTTCATTCAGTGAGTTTTATTTCCTTATTTTAAATATTTTTTCACACTATTTTAAAATTACTGTCAATTATTTTCGGTAATTTACAATGTGAGTTATTCTATAATTCCCCTTTGGTATCTTTTATAAATTCTATTTCTCTGCTCTAATTTTTTGTTTCATAATTGATTTCAAGAGAATTTTTTATTGCTTATTGCAACATTTTATAATGACTGCTCTAAAATACATGTCTGATTTATCTCTGATTTGGTGTCACTTATTTTTCTTCACTTAAATTTTGATTTTCCTGGCTTTTTTATAGTAGATGACTATTAATTTTATTCAGGACATTTTGTCTAATATATTAGAAGATTATAGGTACAATTTAAATGCTGTATTTGAGAAGACAGTTATTCAAGTTTATCACACAGGCCTGCTTTTTTGGGGGTCTGGTTCCATTAACATTGTAATTTTCAAAATTTTCGCTATGCAGTTTTGGTCTGCTTGGTTTAGTTCTATTGGTATTGTCCAGTTTTTTATATGCTGGGGTTTACACTGTTCTCTGAATATGTTGCTTGACTGGGTAGAAGAAGTTTACCTAGGCCCTGATGGCTCAAAGAAGGAGGAGAGACTTTCTGGCCAGTGTGGGCAACAAGTGCATTCTAGACCTAGTGTTTATTGTAAGTGAATTGGCCATGCCTGGATCTCCTCAGTGTCTGGGGTCTGTCCGTGGTAGATAGAGTTATTTGGCTTATGGGAGGAGGTGTGCTTCCTAGGCCTGATCACATATTCTGTGGTTATCTTAATTGCCAGTATTGTCTAGAACCCAATAGTTCTAGCTGGAGAAGGATTCCTATAGTCTCTGGTGACATAGAACATTTTCCAGAATTGGCATATTTTTAAGGGGTGAATTTTCTCTTCAGAAGCTGCTCAACTGTTTTGGTGTCTCTGTAGTGGAAAGGACTATTTGGTTCACAAAGATAAATAACAGTAGCACACGCTGACCTGGCACTTACTGTGGTGCAATGCCTTTTGCTGGATATTCTGACTATCTGGCATCTTTGAATGGGAGAAAGTTCTTTCTATTGCTGTTTGCCAGTTGGGATTTTGGTTGATCCCCACTTGCTGGTACTGCTGGGCTTACCAGGACACTCTTTTGACCTAATGAAAGAGTGAGACGACCTCGTTGCCTTCTGTAACTAGTATGGAAATCAGAAAACTCTGGACATTCTGCTTTTGGATAAGGGGTTAAAAGAGTCCTTACCTAAACACTGTCCCTTCAGTCTTGGAGTCCCTAACCAATGTGTCTTTTATCTCTTAGTTTCTCAGATTACTCATTTGGCTTCCTATTGTTTTATTTCCATGGTTGACAGTGTTATTTGGGGTTTGGAGGGTGACTGATGTGAGGACGAGGTAAGCCTATGCCATCTTGTTCAGATTGTTTTTTATCTTTCCTTCAAGCTTTTGCTTTTATCTTTGCTATATATTATAAATTAAAGCAGCATTTCTGTAATTTTGAAAAACATACAATATATGTAAACATTTAGTATTCCAAAACAGATGAATAATTGCATTTATATCTCATTTATCTCACTATAGTGATTACTAAATTACATTCCTAATCATTTAGGTAGCAGAGGAGAGATCTCATATCTCACTTTGCTATGGCAAAGTAATCCATATTTAACATGTTGCTCACTTAAAAATCTAGTTTCTCAGATTGTCTTGTTTTATATATCTTGTCTTCTAAACATTTCTTTAATTACATTATGCACTAATGCGTTGCATTTAAATTACTTCATATCAAGCTCTCTTCATGTTCTTATATCTGTATGCAGTAACTTTATTGATAAAACATAGTTTCTGGGTGCCCTCTAAACTAGCTGGATATTTAACATTTGGGTCATAACATTGTCCTCTATGCAACTTATGAATCAATTTGATGATCTATTTATGCCGGGATTTATAACCTAACAGATGTCTGTATAGTTAGATACCCATATGAATACTGTATCCTGTGGTTTGTAATGTGTTTCAGTTAATCAGCTATGACTGAGATTAAAAGAATATCAAAAATAATTTAGCAAAATCATTATTAATGGCTAAAGAACAATTGTGTTTTTACATTGTATTGAGGATTCTTTAAAAATTACATAAGAGCAAAGACAAACTAAAGCAAAAATTGTCTGTATGACATTTTAAATTATGATATAAAGTGTTAAAGTGAAATAATTGAGCATTTATTTTGTGCCTAGCACTGTGAACACTATACTGCATGCATTTGTATTATTAATAAAAATGAACACAATGACAATAGAAACTTACAGCCATTGAGAAATCATATTTAAGTGTTGTTGTTCAGATCAGTTATGTGATAACAGTTGTAAATCGTGTTGAATAAGCATTTTACATTTCTACTAGATATACTTATGTTTATAATAACTTCTGTCAAAAATATCAATACTACATTTTACTATATGTATGGGAAAATTTGAATTTATTTACATTTTATCTCACATGTTATCGACCTTTAGCTATCACTATGAAACTATGTGAGGAAAGAATATAGATTTTCAAAAGGTTTTTAGGGTTAATAAGCAAAATAATTTGAATACCACTGCTAGGAATATTTTATTCTAAAAAATATTACTGGTGGGAGGAATTGATGTGGTTATATGCAATAGTAAAAATATTCTAAAGTCAACATCTATCTAATGGGAAAAAAGAATACAATAATATGGTGGAGTAATACATGGAGGGAGATTTATGCAAGAAAGATAAAAAGGCACAATACTGTAGATTGGAATAAGTATGTTGTGGGAAAACATTTAATAGATTCTGTTTTGCTAGATTGTGTTTGATTAATAGCTTTTGAGGGGCAGTATGAAGTTATAACTGAAAAATTATATATTATGTAGGATATGGAGAAACTAGAACGCCAGATAATATATATTACATTTTATAATTAAGCATTTAGAAAGCAATTTATACTTTAAAAAGGACATGATGACATGACATAATCTTGTCTTAAAAATAATAATTCACAAAAATAGACACATAGAACAGGGCAGAGACCCCTGAAATAAAGCTACAACACCTACAAACAACTGATCTTCAACAAAGCTGACGAAAACAAACAAGCGAGAAAGGGATTACATTCAATATATGGTGCCTGAAAAACTGGCTAAACAGATGCAGAAGAATAAAACTGGACCTTTGCTTCACACCAGATAGATAGATAGATAGATAGATAGATAGATAGATAGATAGATAGATAGATAGATCTGTCTATATATAACTAACTCGAATTAAAAACTTAAATGTTAAGTCTTCAAACTATAAACATTCTATAAGAAAATGTATTGATATGGTTTGGCTCTGTGTCCCCACCTAAATCTCACCTTGAATTGTAATAATCCCCATGTGTCAAGGATGGACCAAGTGAAAATAATTGAAACATGGGGACAGTTTTTCCTATGCTGTTCTCGTGATACTAAGTGAGTTCTTACACAATCTAATGGTTTTATAAGGGGCTTTCCTCTTTGCTGGATACTCTTTCTCTCTCTTGCCACCCTGTGAAGAGGAGCTCCACCATGATCGTAAGTTTCATGAGGCTTCCCCAGCCATGTGTAACTGTGAATCAATTAAACCTCTTTTCTTTATTACTTACTCTCAGGTATTTCTTCATAACAGTGTGAGAATGAACTAATACACCTAGGAAATACTCTTCTAGACATTGTCCAGGCGAATAATTCATGACTAAGTCCTCAAAAGCAAATGCAACAAAAACTCAACAATTGGGACATAGTATTCAAACAACAAAATAAGAAAGTCATTTTGCTTCCATAAGTAGTCATAAATCTATTTACTAATGTAACTGTATAATATATAAATTACACAGTTTGAATTATGATAATAACATATTTATTAAGAAAACATAGAAGTTTAGTGTGGAAATATGTCATAACTATTAATTTCAACATCTATAATTTAAAAATATTTTATGTGCATTATATTTCACAATATTAAATATTTTAACAATAAATAAGTAAACAATGCAGGAATGTAAGAGCTTTGTAGAAGTCTGTTTTATTATTCACTTATTGTTACAAATAATTTTTATTTATCCAAAGGCATTGCATTTAGAATAAATCTACAGTCCTAATAGTGCCCAAAAGTATTTAATATTCCTCAGTCTGCACATAGATTTTATTTGTAAATCTTGTTATCATATGATTTATCTTTCCAAAAAAAATTATGTTCTCCATGTTCTTTTTGCTACTGCCCTTTTACATCTCCAAAAGGAGTTTAACTTCCTATCATATATCAATTGGGAAACTTGGAATATTCAAAAGTAAAGCTTTGGACTTGTCACCAAGAAATATGAGGGTTTATTGATCATAAAGATCCAAACATACAATAATTAAGCATTAAAGTACTAAACTTTTTGCCTGATTTTTTTTTTCCTTTATGTACCAACTTTTATTTTATATTCAGTGGTACATGTGCATGTTTGTTACCTGAGCATATTGTGTTATGCTAAAGTTTTTGGTATGAATTATCCTGTTACCCAGGTACCAAGCATAATATCCATCAATTTGTTTTTTCATCTTTGTCCCCTCCTTCTCTTCCCCATCTACTAGTCCCCTTAGTCATTTATTGCCATCTTTATATCCATGAGAATGTGGTGTTTAGCTCCCATTTGTAAGTGAGGAAATGTGGTAGTTGGTTTTCTGTCCCTGTGTTAGTTCACTTATGTAATGGCTTTCAGCTATATCCATGTTGATGCAAAGGATATGTTTTTATTCTTTTTAATTGCTGCATAGTATTCCGTGGTGTATACGTGACACATTTTCCTTACCTGATTCACCATTGATTGGCACCGAGATTGATTCCATGATTTTGCTATTGTGAGTAATGCTGCTGTGAATATATGGGTGCATGTGTCTTTTTGGTAGAATAATTTGTTTTCTTTTGGATATATAACCGGTAATGAAATTGCTGGCTCAAATGGTAGCTCTGTTTTAAGTTCTCTGAGACATCTCAAAACTTCTTTCCATAGTGGCTGAACTTATTTACAATTCCAACAATAGTGTATAAGCATTCCCTTTTCTCCACAGTCTCACCAACCTCTGTTGTTTTTAGCTTTTAAATAGTAGCCATTCCAATTGGTGTGAGATGGTATCTCATTATGGTTTTGATATGTATTTATCTGATGATTAGTGATGATGAGCACATTTTCATGTTTCTTGGCCACTTATACATCTGCTTTTGAGAAGTGTCTGTTTACATCTTTCGCCTATTTTTAAAAAACAGGGTTTTTTTTTGTTTTTTGATTGTTCAATTGTTTAAATTTCTTATATGGATTCTGGATATTAGACTTTGGTCTGATGCATAGTTTGTGAATATTTTTTGCTGTTCTTTAGATTATCTATTTGCTCTGCTGATAGTTTCTTTTGCTCTGCAGAAGCCTCTTTAGTTTAATTAGGTCCCAATTCTCAATTTTTGTTTTTGTTGTAATTGCTTTAGAGGACTTAGTCATAAACGCTTTCCCAAAACCCATGTCCAGAATGATGTTTCTTAGGTTTTCTTCTAGGGTTTTTATAGTTGTAGGTCTTACATTTACATTTTTAATCCATCTTGAGTTAATTTTTTATATGGTGAAAGTTAAGGGTTGAGTATTAATCTTCTGCATATGGCTACCTATCGCAGCACCATTTGTTGAATAGGGAGTCTTTTTCACATTGCTTATTTTTGTCAACTTTGTGAAAGATTACATGGCTATAGTTGTGCAGCCTTATTCCTGGGTTCTCTATTCTGTTCTATTGGTCTTTTTGTCTGTTTTTGTTCCAGTACGATGCTGTTTTGGTCACTATAGCCTTACAGTACAGTCTGAAGTCAATTAATGTCATGCCTTTGGCTTTGGTTTTTTTGTTTTGAATTAGTTTGGCTACTTGGGTTCTTTTTTGGTTCCATGTGAATTTTAGAATAGTTTTTTCCCAATTCTGTAAAAAATGACATTGGTAGTTTGATAGGAATAGTGCTGAATCTATAGATGGCTTTAGGCAGTGTGGTCATTTTAACAGTATTGATTCTTCCAATCCATGAACAAGGAATACTTTTCCACTTGTTTTTGTCTCTTGTGGTTTATTTTAACAGTGGTTTTGTAGTTCTCCTTGTAGAGATCTTTCACCTCATTGGTTAGATGTATTCCTAGGTAATTTGTTTGGACGTTTGTGAGCTATTGCATATGGAATTGAGTTCTTATTTTGGCTCTCAGTTTGAACAGTTTTGTCATAAAGAAATGCTGCGAAGTTTTATACATTGATTTTGTAACCTGAAACTGCTGAAGTTATTTATCTCCCCCATGAGCCTGCTGATGGAGTCTTTATGGTTTTTGAGCTATAGAATTATATCATTCACAAAGGAAGAGTTTGAGTTCTTTTCCTGTTTGGATGCCTTTAATTTCTTTCTCTGTCCTGATTGTTCTGGCTAGTACTTCCAGTACTAGGTTGAATAATGGTGGTGAGAGTGGGCATCCTTGTCTTGTTCCAGTTCTCAGAGGGAATGATTTCAGATTTACCCATTCAATATGATATTGGCTTTGGGTTTGTCATGGATGGCTCTTGGTATTTTGAGATATGTTCCTCGGATGCTTAGTTTCTTAAAGATTTTTAACATGAAGGAATGTTGGACTTCATTGAAAGCTTTTTCTGTGTCCATCGAGATGATATTATGGTTTTTGTTTTTAATTGTTTTTAGGGTGAATCACATTTATTGATTTGTGTATGTTGAAACTTGCATTCCAGGGATGAAGCCTACTTTATCATTGTAAATCATCATTTTGATGTGCTGCTGAATTTGTTATGCTAGTATTTTGTTGAAGATTTTTGCATCAATGTTCATGAGGGTTATTGTCCCGTAGTTTTCCTCTTTTTGTTGTGTCTTTGCCAGCTTTTGGTGTCAGGGTGGTGCTGGCTTTGTAGAATGAATTAGGCAGGAGTCCCTCCTCAATTTTTTGAAATAGTTTCAGCAGAGTTAGTACCAGTCCTCCTTTGTACCTCTGGTAGAATTCAACTGGGAACGTATCTGGTCTACAGCTCTTTTGGTTGTTAGTTTTTGTTTTATTTCATTACTGATTCAATTTCAGAACTCGACATTAGTATGCTCGGTGTTTCCATTTCTTCCTGGTTCAATCAAAGGTCTCTGAGGACCTTTCATCTTTCTGTGGGATCAGTTGTAGTGTCACTTTTTCATTTCTAATTGTGTTTATTGGATCTTGTTTCTGTTTACATTTGTTAATCTAGCTAGCAGTCTTTTGATTTTGTTTATTCTTTCAAAGGACCAAGTTTTGGTTTTACTGTTGTTTTATCTGGATTTTGGGGTGTCCATTTCATTCAGCTCCCCTCTGATTTTAGTCGTTTCTTTTTTTTCTTCAAGCTTTACCACCCTGAAAGTGCCCAATCTCATCTTGCCTGCTTCTTGATGGGATTTGGGTAATAAGTCAATGGTGATTTTAAAGTCTAGATTATAATATATATCTTTAAATGAACTTGAGGTATCACATTAATCCTTTCTGTTGTTGTTCATAGTTCCTACTTATTACTAACCATCTGGGTTAGATAGGCATACAGAGAAGATCTCAATTTCTGGGAGAATAAGTACAGTAAATATAAGGTGATATAGCATGAAAAACATAGTGTCAAAATACATAAATATTTATACCACCAAAAATACATACAAACATGTGTCTCTTATATTCCAACTCAATCTTTTATCTATCTTTGCTTTTTTAAGAGACTAATTTTGTAATTTTATGTTTGAGACCTGAAATACATATAGACAGATTCACATATTAAGTACAATTGTTCAACAGCAGAATGACTTCTACAAACTCAGGTCATGTTTTCATTTTCCAATACAATTCTCTAGGATTTAACACTATATATCACTTATTTATTGAATAATATATATGTTAGTTTCAAAATTAGATATTTTAAAAAATTTGAGAGGAAAGTAATTAGATTTTAAATGATATTTAATGGAAAGAAACTAACTTTTAAAAAATGATGAAAGAGAAGTTCTATATTTTTGAAAAAGCTCTACACCTTTTCTAGTTCATCACATACCAATAATTTTGGAAAATATTATTTTCCTTATAAGCAGTTAAAGTCATATCAATAGAAGCAGCTACGTTAAAGAGTTATTGTGTAATGGGTAGTATAGAGTTAGTAATATTATAAGGAAATAGGCATTGATTAATTTAGTTGGGGGGAAATGTTCAGTGTCTTACAAATGCTGACAGAAGCAGACTGCTTATCTCTGACCTTCTTTAGTCATACAGCACAATTAATTGCATTTATGCATGACAGATTGTTGCATTGTCTTCATTTATCTAAACAATAATTTGCCTTTTAGTTCATTTGACTTTGAAAATATTTTTGACATTTGTATACTGAAAATGTAGTGTCACACTGGTACCTTATTTTCAACCTCAAGGACATAATTAGTAGCATAGTGGAAAAATTGAAGGCATTGGATACCTTACAGAGTGAGATTATTTGTATCATCATATTCAAAACAGTCTTCCTGCTTTTTACTTTTTATATTGTCATATTACTATAGGTTGTGTATGTGTGACAGAGAGAGAGAGAGAGATCAAGATGGAGAAAAACTGATAAATCATATACAGAAAGGCAGAAAGAAAGACAGAAAGAGGAGAGGTAGAGAGAGGGGAAGAGGATAAAGAGAGAAAGAGTGATTTGTGGGAAAAAAGACAGAAGGAAAGAATTAATTTTCATATTAGATGTAAATATTGTTTTGGTGAATGCATGCCTGAAAAATGTCATAACATTTTCCTAGTTCTACTGTTGTATTCATACAAATGTGATGATATACTAGCTGATATAAGTTAGACAATGCTTATTTGAAATTAAAATTTATAAATTTTAATCATTAATGGGGTATTAGCAATCTCAGAGCAACAAGTTATGAAGAACGGATCTAAGATAAGAAAGATTAGTGAAAAATTGATAGAATTCAGTGAAGAAAGTATCAGCTAAATTGGTTAAAAACAACAGTTTTCCCAATAATATACTGAAGGACTTAACCTGATAAATCAGAATGCTTAAAATAAACTTCTTAGCTTCAGAATACATTGTAAAGGAAAATGTGGATTATAGAGAAAGTCTTTAAAGGTTTTTACACTGGGGCAGGGATTGCAGGATTTCCACACCTTTAACATTCTCTGGATTTAATTTTCTTCAAATGCTAGGTGCCCAAGATCTTCAAATATTCATCAATTTTAAAGAAGCATAACAGAGAAATACAGAATAATATATATTTATAGAACATACTGAATTTCCACATATTTTCTCCAGAGTTTGTGTTTATATTGTTTTGCCAAAGAATCATTTCATACCAACCTAGCAGTAAGAGGAAATTTGAAGTTAGTTTCTTATATTGAATGGAATTTCACATCAATAGTGAATGGGATTTCACATTACAGTTCATTTACACAAAATAGTTTCAGGATATATATATATATATATATGAAAAATATTACTCAAAGTGATTCTGAAATTTAATTTCCTTAAAATGCTTTGGACATAATTCTCTAAGAATACTTTGTCACTTTTCATAAAAAGAAAAGTGCATTTGTATCTCTTTATTCATCACATTTGTCAGTAATGTACATTTAAAATAATAATAGCCTCTTCAAATATTGTTGCACAGGTAATATGCCATGCAAAGTGGGCTAAGCATTTTACATGCCTTATGTCATTTAATCCACTCAACTATTACATGTGAGGAAGCTGAAGTGTTGAGTAGTTAAGTAACTTAATGGAAGTTTCAGAGTTGGCAAATGGTTTATATGGAACCTTAAGGAAGTTTCTCTGAACTCGAAGATCACGCTTTTAACCATTCTGTTATTTAACAGTATTTGAACTCTAAATATCTGTGGGTACACAAGCATAAAATCATTTACTTGGAAACTTCAAAAAAAGATATAAGACTTTTTTATTAGTATTGTATTTTGAATGATTGTTTTGCATAAAATTATACATCCTTTTTATCACAAATGCATTTTTAGAAGCTATAAAAGTAAATAAAAAGGGCACAATGTTAAGAATATTTCAAAATCTTGCAGTAATCTTTTTGTCCTATAAATTTTTGAGTTATATGCATTTTATTTTCAAATTGCATATAATAGTTTTGTTTAAAAGCAGGATAGGCTGTGTGTGCTGGCTTATGCCTGTAACCCCCCAGCACTTTGGGAGGCAGAGGTGGGCGGATCAGCTGAGTTCAGGAATTCGAGACCAACCTGGCCAACAGGGTGAAACCCTATCTCTACTAAAAATACAAAAATTAGCTACGTGTGGTGGCGTGTGCCTGTAATCTCAGCTACTCTGGTGGCTGAGGCACAAGAATCTCTTGAACCTGAGAGGCAGAGGTTGCAGTGAGCTGAGATTACACCACTGCACTCCAGCCTGGACAAGAGTGACACTCTGTCTCTAAGTAAATAAATAAAAATAAAAGCAGGATAAAAACATGATACTTTGTATCTCCTAACTATAAACTGGTGAAGTAGAACAGGAAAAAATGAATCTCATGGAGTAAAGTCAAATGAAGAATGGCATTTCCGCACATAACAGCCACTAATTGGGTTGTGGTTTGGTTTTTGCAAAAAGGCATATCCCTAAAGAGTAAGTTGAACATATTTTGCCCCCTGACAATAGCTTAGTAGATGGAAAAGTTACATTACATTACTTTCAATCATCAGCTTTGAGCAACTAATTTACTAGGAATGCCTTGTTTCATTCTAATTCCTTGATGTATCTTTTTTTTTTTTTTTTTTTTTTGAGACAGAGTCTTGCTCTGTCGCCCAGGCTGGAGTGCAGTAGCGTGACCTCCGCTCACTGCAAACTCCGCCTCCCGGGTTCGCGGCATTCTCCTGCCTCAGCCTCCCAAGTAGCTGGGACAACAGGCGCCCACCACCACACCCGGCTAATTTTTTGTGTTTTAGTAGAGACAGGGTTTCACCGTGTTAGCCAGGATGGTCTCGATCTCCTGACCTCGTGATCCGCCCGCCTCGGCCTCCCAAAATGCTAGAATTACAGGCGTGAGCCACTGCGCCTGGCCTCTAATTCCTTGATGTATCTAAGGAATAGTCATCTAACAGTGGGACAAGAACTAGTGGAAGTAGTTGGAGATTTATTCAAAGACAGCAGTGACTGGAAATACTTGCAGGGTCCTGAGCAAGTGTGAGTTTTAAGTAACCTCCTGCCCCTCTGTAGATTCTGCAAGGCATCGGTAATGAGAACAGGACTTTTATTTTAAGTCTTATAGTTATTAGATGTATAATGAAAGTGTATAATGGAGAGACAGTCTGTTGTGTACAAATATTGTTCAGCAATTTGATTAATTGGAGCAGTTGTGTTTCCTTCTTTTCTATTCATTTATTTTTTCATTTTTTCCCCTTTGTCCATCTTTGCCTTCTGCTCACTCCCAATCAGCATTGTCTTCAAACAGACTTTTGTACAAACAACTCATGTTGTTTATTTTACATTATAGGTGAATTTCTGTATATTGAGGGAGTATTCAAGAGTATAAAAGTAGGAAAAGTTATGTCAATCAGATACTCAAGAGGATGGCAGGATTGTCTCTATCCTAGCAAAAGCTTGTCATTGATACATACTCTTTAATATAGTGTGTGTCAAGGCTCCTTTTTTTCCTTTATCCCCCAAAGACAGAAAGCCATTCAGTTAGAAAATGTTGACATGATTCAAACATTGCAATAAATTTAGCTCTAGGCATATTCAAATATTATTAAAATCATGAAGTGGACTGTTTTAATAAAATGCTGATATGTATAATTATTATATAGTAGTGTTAAATTATAGATGTAGGTTTCATAATGTTTTTATATTATATTACAACTTATAAACTCCCGAAATTATAGGAATGATTTATAAAAATGATTGCAGACTTTTGCCCATTTTCCATTCCCAGAAACGAGACCGTTGTCTGTTCATTTCTCCCCTTGATAGACACATTTGGTTTCATTTATACAGAAAAATTTTCTCATTCCAGCTTTCAGAAAAAAATATATAAAAAAATATATAAAAGGCAAATTATATTTCCAACATTAACAAATAAATATTTAAGCTGAATGATAATTTTATAATAAAGTATGTTCATATTCATATCAACAAGAATAACTATTTAGTAGAATAAAGTTACATAGACTAAAATGTGTTATTTATTTGTAAGGTAATGCTGGAACAAAGAAACGTAATCATGTTATTGCTTTTAAAATAACTTGTATCTGGGAGATAGAAGCCTATTATTTTTCTAAATCTCAAATCTATGACTTTTCTAGAAAAAAAGAAGTTAATAGCCTTCCATAAAAAAGAAACATATAGAAATCTTTCATTATTTACCAATAATCTAGTCTTTAATTCATTATACATTATGTCTCTTCTATATTAGTTATCATTATTTTCTAGTTTTTAAAAAATGTTTAATTCTTGAGGAAAATGCTATTTAATTGAAGTTCACACTAAGCTGCATAATGGGAAGAGACAGGATGTTATATCACCTTGTTTACATATTATTTAGGGAAAAGTAACAAAACATTTTCAAAATATGTACAAAGATTTTTATACATTTTTCATTGTTTGCTTTCTTAAAATTAAATTTTTTTATATCCAGTTTTTTGTGTACGATCACATATTATTAAAATATTGCTCCTGTAAAGCTTTACAAAATGCTATATTTATATTCAGCCATCTGAAGCTAGTAGTAATCATTATGAGAAGGGATTGAGAGTAGGCAGGAAATGATATGAAATCAAGCATTGTCTGTGCCAGCCATGGTGTGTGTAGACGTTTCTATTTTACCTGGGAAAAATTCTAATAATATTTATTCATAATCTATCACTATTTTCATAAATAGTTATATCAATATTTGTATTAATACAATATTATCCAATTGAATAACAATTGTTTTATTACTAAAAATATAATTAAAATAACTAAATTTACAATTGTATGGGAATTTTTTATCTTAGACTTTCCATAATATTTTGCATAAAATGGACAATAAATCAATGCTACTATCTTTGGCAACGTGATGGAAGTATTTATTTTTATTAAGCAATTTCTATCTTTGTTTCATTTATATTGCAATGAAAGTTAAAATAAAATATGTGTAATAATAAAAAATTCCTCCCTACAAAAACATCGTTAGAGAAACGTTATGACATTCAGCATTACAGAGATAACAATTTATGGTTTATTTGGCAAATTCAAAATTGTCTGCACAACACTAACATTCAAAATATGTATGATGATATTTGTCTGATGAAAAGTCTGAATATCTGTCATACTTACAGAAGTAAAATGAATTATTAGAATTTTTTATTAATCTCATATTCTAGATTTTTAATTAAGCCAAAAGCTTTACATTAGAGGAGAGACAGTATCCAGAAAAATAAACAAGCAATAGTTATTATTAATACAAAAACATTTTAAGAATGCTTATTGAAACCATGATCATTTAGATAAGAATTCAAATTAATTTTTAAAATATTATTTAAGACAGCATTATGAATATTTGTTATAAAGCTAAGGTTATTTTCTTTTAAATAAATGTTTAACTTCAGAATAATTTTAGATTTATGGAAAAGTTGCAAAGATTTTATAAGGAGTTTCTGTCTACCCTTTATTCATTTTCTCTTGGTATTATTAAATTATATAATCTGGATACATTTATCAAAACTAAGAAAACAATTTTGCTACATTAGTGTTAACTACACTCTAATCTTTATTTGTATTTCACTAGATTTTTCCATTATAGCCCTTTTATATTCCAAGATCCATATTACTTTGAGACATCAATTATCTTTATCTCTAGTGGTCTATGAAAGATTCCTAGTCTTTCTTATTTCTCGTGACTTTAATAGTTTTAAGAACTGGTCCAGTTTTTATAGAATGTTTCTCAAGATAAGTTTATTGTTTTTCTCATGCTTAGACAGAAGTTATATATTTTTGGAGATAATTCACAGAGGTGAAGTATCCTGTTACTGTTTTTCCTTTTCTCAGTTCTTTGGAATCCAATCACGAAGTCAAGCTCACATTCAAAGAGTAATTATGTAGATTATTTCTAATTCTTCCAAAAGGAAGATTTGTCCCATCTTTCCCTGCCTTCTTTTTTGTGACCCTAGTATTCATGTCAATATAGACTCATGCTTATTATGTTAATTTTGCATTAGAATTCACTACTATGTTATTTGTTGCTCAAATTATTTTTTGCTTGAATACTCATGCTCTTAGAGTGTGGCACCTGAGTGCCTTTGATATACCTATTTTTGTTTGTCTGTTTGAGTAATTTCTTATTTCTGGCATGACATGATATTCCACACCTATCTTATGTTTTACTACCCTACCCTGGAAACAGTTATTTATCTATTTATCTAGTGGTCAATTTTTTATTTATTTATTTATTTTTTAAGCTAATCCATTTGAGCATGCTTTCTGGAAAAACAAATAGAAAATATAACACAATCCCCAGAGGCTGAAAAGTCTATAATGACTTTCATTTAATATTTAATTATTTGAATTCATTTACCTCCAAATTACTCAAAATGTATTTCCAAGCTCAGGTTAGAGACCTTGTATTAGTTTTTTGTGAACAAAGCCAACAGGGCTTCCCACATTGAATTCCTGCCAGGTAAAGCTATCTGATGACCTTCTTGAGTGGTTGCATCTGTCTCAAGGTCACGTATACTTTGGGCATATTCTGTAATTTATATTACCTTATCTTTGATTAGCATATCTTTAAAGTGATATTGCTTGACTTTATGTCACCAGAAAGTGTTTCAGTGATTGTTTTAATGGCTTATTCATTATTAATTTATTTTTTATTTTCATTTTAATCATATAATTTAAAATTGTATTTTACATATTATTTTACTGTATTCTTTTAGTTGCTTTCTAACTCTTTAAATTACTTTAAACATATTTACTGATTATTAATTTTTTTTTCCCAAAGGATGTTGGAGGAAACACAATTTACTTGAAATACTAATTAATTTCAGCAGGTAATAGGTTTCTGTTCTATAAAAAATGCATTGAATTAAATATACTAGGTTTATTTGCTACAAGACTTACTAGTTTGTATTAAGTGTGGTAGATCTCATAATGGTCTTCCAAACATGTCCACATCCTACTTCCTATAACTTACAAATATATTACCATATATGGTATATGGACTTTGCTGATGTGATGAAATTAATACTTTTGAGATGAGATTATCCATATTGTTCGGAGGGTCTGCATCAAAGAATGAGATGTGAAAATGAAAAGAGAGGTAAGGTGACACAAGATCACAAGCCAAGAAATGTGCACAACCTTTAGAGGCTAGAGAAGAAAAGTAAACAAGTTTTCTCTTTGAGTCTCCATAAGAAACACAGTCCTGGCAACATATTGATTTTAGCCCAGGAAAAGCATTTTAAACATCTGACCTGTGAGATAATTAATTCATGTTGTTTTTAAAACATTTTTTTCATTTTTTAAAATGAATTTATAAAATTTTGAACTTTTTGAAGTGAAAACTTCAGATTTATTCTGCAGAAGCCCATTTTCAAGAAGCTGAAGATGAATGTGGGAGAGGAGAGGATCCCTCCTCTTCTCCTTTCTCCCTTATCTATTTTCAACATAAGATAAAAATGCCCTGGACCACAAAACCTACGCTTCTCCCCAAAAAACAAAAAAGACCCTGAGTTTCCAAATAGTTACAGCTCTTAACTTATCATAAAAAAGGGAAGGAGCCAGAAAAAAAGGGAGTCCTTGGGATGTGAGGAGGATCTTCAGCCTGGTATAACATCCCCCTTGAAAGCAGCTGCCCAAATGGGGCAAGCCAGGCATTATATCATTTAAATTTTTTCCACACCAAATTTTATTAAACCAAAAAGAGAAAAAAAATTCCTTTTCCCTAAAAACTTCCAAATACATCATTATATTTTTATAATATGTTATAAACTTATAACACAATATTTTATAATATCTTATAAATATTATTAAAATATGACAATATTTATTTGGGATTTAACATATGTTTTATATATTTATATGTGTTTAATATACTTTAATATAAAAATATATTTTGTTTTATTATAAATATTCATATATTACTTTTAAAAATGAAATTTGAAGACATTAAGTGTTAAAGTTGATCTGAAACAATGGAGTGTGAAATTCTCTCTTTCTTTTTCTTCTGTGGTCTTGTTAATGGGTACATTCCCTGCAGAGGAACCCTCCACAAGAGGATGGCAGAGAAAAGGAATCCAAGGGAGCAAAGGGTGGGGCCTTCCCATGCAATCAGCAGCCATTATGGGTGTGGGCACGGTGCTAGGGACGCCATACCCTCTGGGAATGTTCCAGATGGGATGGCATGTGAAGCATTAAGTTTGCTGCAATCGGTTACTGTAGCAATAGGGAAATAATACACTATGTTTCTGTTCTTTTCAAGTATCTGTAAGCCAAAAACTAGGTGAAACAGGTCTCAATTAATTTAGAAGTTTATTTTGCCAAGGTTAAGGACATGCCTGGAAGAAATGAACAGAGAATTACAGTGACAGTCTGTGTGGTCTTGCCTTTTTCTAAATATTATTTTGAGGCCTTCAATATTTAAAGGGGAATGGTGGGATGGAGGGCAAAGAGGGAGTATATGGTAATCCACATGTTGCAAGTGAAAAGGAGTCAGTATGGTAAATAATCAATTATGTATTCGTCTCTTGCTCAGTAAATTGGTACTTTACATAAGGTAAACTGAACGTCGAGTAGCTACCTTAGGAGATACTTAATTTTTTTATCTTTAGCTATCTGCTTAGAAATATTGTAAAAGGAAAGGCAGCTTCTTGAATGTCTCAGCTTTCAGCTTAATGTTTTTCTTTTGGCATAATGAATTGGAGTCCCAAGTTTCTACTTTCCTTTCACATGTCTAAGTATATAAATGATGCTATTAAAGACCTTATTTAGGATAGTGATGTTAGGTTGTTTTATATTATTTATTTATTTTTCAATATGTTTCACCTCCAATTGTTTTTTAAAAAGAGAAAAATGAAAGAAAACGTAATTTTGATGAAAGTACATGCAGTGGATGTGTGTGTGGATAGTAATATTCTATAGAAATATTATATAACAGATCTCTAAATGTAGATAAATACCATGAACACACCTTATTTAGATAAGTGGAAAGTGGATCAAATTCTACAAGTGATTCTCTACAAACCAACTTAATCTGTTATGAGAAAGAAAATATTGAGCAATAGGAACATTGAAGGATTTCTTTTACGTATGTGCAGAATTTAAAATTCCATGGAATAAAGTATCAAATTCAATTTAAAAATTAATTTTAGGTGACATGCATCATGTCAATGATATTAAGAAGACAAATTCACTTTTAAAAATAGAATAATCATGCTTTGTATTTGCAGGAAAATAACACATTATTACCTGTAGAGCTTTAAATGGGTACTTTTGTTCCAAAAAGCAGAGGCCAATATAAACATTCCTAAATATACACTCTTTTTTTCTTACATATTTTCTTTCTCGATTATTCTGAGCGTATGTAAACAAATTTAAATATATGTAATACAGCCAAGTCAAACCAGATATACTGAGTACCTAATGTTCATCTACCTGTTCAAGTAAACATGTAAATGAGTATGTTTATGTTCCTGGATATAAGTAGGAAAAAAAGTAGATAGATTTTACATTTCAAGTATAGTTATTGATTTAAAGGATGTTTAATATTTTCAGTACTTGCAGATTTATTCAACCATTAGAGATTTGTACATATTTAATACTTTCAAATATGTAACATATTCAATATTGAATATTTGAAATATTAAACATGAAATGTTATATTATTTCGGCAAATACAAATGAAATATTTATTTAAAATAAGCATATCAATCTCTGATATTTAATGCAGTTCCATCTTACCTGGTTAAGGAGCTCTGAGTTGATTTCATTAATAGGAAAATATCCTCTGTAACCTGAAGAAATTATGGAGATACTTTATTAATTTCAAGAATATAAATAAACAAAGCAACAACTAATGCAATTCAGTTACTGATCAGCATATTGCTAGGCATTTTGAGCAATAAAAATTATAAACAAATGTTTTTTTGAAAAACAGAAACAATAGTAACAACAATAATGTTGATGATAATTCATGATGTAACAAAGTGACAATAACATTGAAAAATCCAGCTTTGCAAATGTGTAAATTTCACCTTAATGTAAAAGGCTTATTTTAATTTTAGGATGAAATTGTATCTATTATTTAAATAAAAATGTCACCAGAGAGAACAAATTTTTTGCATTGCTGGGTGTCCTTTTATTATTTTATTTATACAACAAATATAAGGTAAGACACTAAATGTGTATGGAACTATGCTGTACGCTGAGGATAATACTGTGAACAAAGAGACAAACAGGCCATGAACCTTCTCCACGTGGTGCTTAAGTATACTGGATACAACAGATAGCCGTCAAATGATTACTCAAATAAATATAAAATTAGAAATAGGATAAGTGGGTTGGTAGAGATACACATTTCCTAGTTAAAGAGGTCAGAAAAGATGTCCAGGAGAAAGCAATGATAGTGAATGACCCAATATGTGATAGGGGAGGAGAATCACTAAACCAAATGCACATAAGAGATTTCCAGCAAGCAAAATAGCAAAGATCTAGAAGAGGCAGAGAATGGAGATATGGCATATTTTATCATGCAAAGGAAATCAGACTACTCGGAGAATAAGGATATATGGTATTAGATATGCAAAGGAGAAAGAAGTTGGTATGTGCAAGACCGGGTCGCCACCTAAAGAACAATTGACTTAGCTTAATTCATTTATAATCTGGGATGTAATAATCAACAGTCTTGAAAGATTAGTTGGTTGTATAGGTTACTACAATATAGAGAGGGTGCAGAGAAGATGGAAAAAACAAAACAAAAAAAAACTAGTTACCAGGCAACTGCAGTAGTCTGATGGATGATGGTAGCTGAGAATAGAGTAATGTCAAGGAATGGAGACAAGTTGATTAATTCCAAAGTTATATAGACAGAGGTCTGAATTTGGTGACAGACTTAATATGGGCACATGTAATATCAAGGATGACTCTCATTGTTTTTGGTAATAGGAAGGATTTTGGTGCCAGTTAGGAAAAAAAAAGTACGCTTTCTATTTTATCACTTTGCTGACTTCTTGTGGCTGGAGACACTGCTAATATTATTTCTTCTTGAACAGTTTTATTTTCCTATTACTTTAGAAGAGTATAGCATTATTAAGGGTTAGAAGACTATGGTATTCTATTTAGACGTCTCAATTTGAGGTAAATTTGGGAACTCCAGTGGAATTGTCAAGTACAAACTTGCATGTAGAAACTTGTGTTTACAAACCTGAAAGTCATTGAAGGGATTCTGAATATCTAGATTGGAGATAATATATTTTTGAACTATTTTCTTTGTACTTGGTTTATGATACCTAGGGAGAGAGCAGAGAAAAAAAAGTAAAAATAAAAAGCGTTTGATGAATTATAATTTATTCTTATATCAAAGAATGTTCATATCAAAAATTCAATCTCATCCTGGGATTAGAAAACAATTAATTTGCTTTATGTTGTAGTGGATATATTTGGTACAAATGTATATGTATAAAGATGCTTGAAGAAGTCATATTTTAAATGTTACAAAGGCTTGTGCAGAAATGTAAATTGGCATCTGTATTACAATTTCATGTCAGTTTCATTGAACTTTCAGTAAGTCTCACAATAAGATATGTTATTTGAGAAATTAGGGAAAGGCTTGTTCCCTCAGAGTGAAACCCAGTAGAAGGGCCAGTCACCAGGGAAAGGCTAGTTGGCCCACTAGCAATGATTTTACCAAGATTACTAGCTACAAGCAAGCTGAGAAATTACCCCTTAAAATTGTGAGTTTAATTTCCCTTTTAATCAGTGGCCATCAGAAAAGATTGATATTTTTCACAACATTTTTCTTGTCTTCAGTAAAGAATTCAACTTTTAGTTATACATGATATCTAAGAGAATATATCCTTTTTTGTTCATTAGTCATATCATGCTTAATTATTTAGAAGTCCAGTGGGATCCCGGGTTGTTGAGAAAAGATTATCTGCCTGCAATCTGCCATTAACAAGAGTCTAGAGTCCCAACTACTCAGAGCAAGAAGAAGCCTCTGCTGCCCTAAGTCCCACAGCTCTGTGTGCTTCTGGCAAGACATCCCACCCTTTTCTCCCTACAATACTCAAATGCTTTCTGCTAATTCCTACTGTGATCATCAAAGGACTAATGTAATCATGCCCTTTATGATGGCTCATGTCAGTTTGTTATAAACTTCACTAGAAACTTTAACTGGCTATATGCCCTTTACCAAATTTGGTCATTTCAAAGTCCATAACCTCACTTTAAAATATTTCCCATAGAATATTATTAGAAGCACTAGAGCAATCAATGCAAGTGTCTATTCCTAAACTATTTTTTTATTGTAGGAGGTTATTAAAATAATTCTATAATACTGGCATGACTGCAGTTTTTCTGTGTGTATACAGAATGTGTGTTGTGTATGTGTGGCTGTTGATTCAATCTTGTTATTTAATGCCAGATTAACTGATTTGTATCTCATTTCCACCACATACCAACTGTGTGACCTAAACCCTCTGTGCCTCATCTGTAATCTGCAAAACGGAGATTAAAAAGTGTTTCTGCTGAGTATGATGGCTCATTCCTCTACTGCCAGCAATTTGGGAGGCTGAGGTAGACAGATCACTTGAGCCCAGGAGTTCAACAGCTGCCTGGGCAAATTGGCAAAACCTCATCTCTACAAAAAAAAAAAACAAAAAAAAACACACAAAAATTAGCCAGGCATGGTGATGCATGTCTATAGTCTCAGCTATTCAGGAGGCTGAGGTGGGAGGATTGCTTCAGCCCAAAGGTCGAGTCTGCAGTGAGCTGAGATCAGGCCACTGCACTCCAGCTTGGGCAACAGAGTGAGACCTGACCCTGTTCAGCCAAATTATGCCTAGTGTTCCATTATTGGAATGCTAAGCATGTGGGAGTTATTTATATCCTACTGCTCAAGGTCATCGCCAAAGGCTGATTACAAACATTCAAAAAACTGCAACCTCAGGCATAAATGGGTTTTTTTTATGACTGTATCAATCAGGAAATAAAAGTTTGTACACTGAAGTAAGAATGACAGAAAGTGTATATAAAAAAGAAGTTATTTAAATGTATGAGAAGGATGAAGAAAATTCACAAGGGATGTCTCAGTTTTTCCTGGACTAGCAAATAGCAGCAATGTTGCTGCTCAAAATGTAAAAGGATTTGGGGAAGTTAAAGTTGCTAACACGTTTTTAGAGAGAGTTGTATTGATTTTCTTGAGAGGATCTAGGAATTGGAGGACCCAACCAGTCCAAAGTTACTATGCTGAAGTGGGGCTACTGGAATAAGTAATCTGTTCTTACTCTTTTCCTTCTCTTTTACATTGTGGCATGACTTCTTTTAGCTGAATTCAATTGAGAACCAGATGTAACAGAGCCCACAGATACAGTCCAAGAAGCTCAGTTCCTAAGAGAGCAAAGAGATTGAAGAATTGATCTGAAGGGGTTATGTGATAACTGGCATAAAAGCACTGAGAATCATGTTTTTATATATAAAGTAAGCAATCGTATGTGTTAGCTAATTGTTTGCAACTGCCTACACCAAAATTATAGACTTTTGTGATTGCTGTCATTCTTCACTCTACCTTTATCTACATGTACAGAAACTTTCAGGGCACACATGATTAATTGTGTTATAGCATTACTAGCTTTAATAACAGTATGGATTTCAAGTGAAATAATTTTCCCATAGCTGCTACTAATTTAAAAATAATCAGCAATAAACATGATGTAGGGTTTCATTTGTGAGAAAGTCTAAACATTTCCAATTTAAAGAAAATGATAATTTATTGAATTTTCACTTGTCCCTTCACAGGTCATTAGTTAAATATTTAGTATTTTTACATGTATAGAGAAAAAAACAAAATAAAATCAAAGTGTGCATATACAATTTTATCAAGTATCATTCTATGATAGTATTTTTAATTTAGAGCCATGGGTTAGCTATAAATACAATATTTCAGATAATGGAAAAGGAATAAATAATCATTTCTGAAAGTGGATTCATTTCTAGGAACTGATATGATACAAAATGATAATTGTACTTATATTGTTTTATTCAGAATATGACAATTAACTATGTTTTTATAACTGATTAAGATAATTTGAATTCTAAATGACATATTTTAATATTGAGATTAGCAATTTAATATAATTAGCATTAAATTACTTCTAATTTTCACAATTCATGAATTGAAAATATAATAGCACAGAGAGCTATATTAGATTCTCAAGCCAAACATCCAGCACTAACTTAGAAATTGCCATTAGGATACATTTTAGTTTATAATTTTCTGAGGGAAGCTTAAACTTTCTTGTTTTTTATTTTTATTTTATTTGAGTGTATGCAAATGCATCCTCTATAATTATATGAACATAGTATATAATTATCTTATATATATTTGAGAAATGTCAGACCACAGGTGACACTTACATCCATGGGAAGCATAGCAAAATAAAACATGAACTTACAGTACTGAGTCCTGAAATATCTGTACCTTTATATATTAGGTAATAAAGGAGAAACAAGCAAAGTGTGTTGAAATGGTTGGACTATTTATGTATGAAAAGCAAAACAACAAAACTCAGGGAGAAAGTATTGTAAGATGGCCAAGAAATGAAGGCAGTTCATAACTACTGGTATGATAAAATATATATTAAAATCCTAATAGTGTGAGTAAAAATGACAGAGAGGCTTCGCTAGATTTTAAAACATGGAGATTGTTAACGACATTGATAAAAAGAGTTTCAGTGGATTGATCAGTGCAAGGCTAGTTTATATTATGAAATGATTTGGAATTTTGGCAAAATGAAACAGTTCAAGAAATTGTTTTGTAATAAACTATTAAAAACATAGCTATGCAGGAATATGGAGCTAAGGTTTAGGAGAATTTTGCTTTGCTTTATTTTAATGAATAGGAGATACCACCCATATCATTATACTGATGGAAATGATACAATAGAAAAGGAAAAACATATGGTATAAAGCATAGAAAAACTAACAGAACAAAGTCATTCTAAAGGTAGAAAGAGAAAATTCCTAAGCATCGTGATAGGTATTAGCCTTTGTTAGTGAGAAATGTATTTTCTCTTGGAATAGGGAAGGGAAAGATAGAAGGAAAGTCAGTGGGTCCTTAAGCTCATTGAGAACAAGATAAGAATTGTACATTAATCCTAACTTTTAAAAAATGAATTATATGTTTAAAACATGTCAGAAGTAAAATTGTAGAGATTTAAGGAAGTTGGGGTAGTATAAAATTATCTTGCTTAGGTGTAAAATAGAGATCCTATTTTTAATTGGTGAGGACAAAAGCATGCCAACTTATGCCCTGTGATCATGCATTTCTAGCCAAACCAGTCTGCTTTATTTGTGTATATTCAATAACTTAACAATAATTAAGTCCTTGTATAAAAGACCTAAGAAGATAGCAGAAGGGGTAATTTCTTGTCAAGATTTTTCAGTAAAAGTACAAAGGAAAAAGAAACAAGAAGTGGAAGGTATTTACCAAGTAATGGCTAGAATTATAGTGGCCTGTGGGTGCTAGACCAGACTTGAAATGTGCCTACGGATAGAAAGAGACATAGTGGGTCAGCAGAGAGATTGATATGGTTGAAAACCTATACCCATGGGATCGTTTAAGTGGAAAAATATTAGTAGGTTGTCAAAATATTATATTGAAAATTTTAGAGATGTTCAAGTGAAGACAAAGGTCAGGCTATGCTCATAAGACTTGTGACTCATCAATATCGAAAGGCAGTGGCTCCTGTGAAAGAAATTCAGAGATCTGATGTGTGGTTATATCAGAAGGTCTCTAAAATCCATTCCTACAAATGATTCTATTGTGATTCTAGTGAATTGGAGAAGAAAGGTGTGTTATGAGCATCAATTATTTGTAATCTATCCCTACACGATACAATTTTCCTAGCTTGTCAATTTCTTCTTTGATAGAATGATACATTGTTCTAAATTATTCAACTCTTCCCTTTGTCACATGACTTTGGAGTTAGTCGAATTTGACTTGGTTTTATACTTTACCATTTGACTTTTTTTATTAATAAGTAATATTATTAGATGTTAAACAAGCAGAGACTTTAAATGTGCGTGTGCATTTTGGATGGCCCTCTTTTGTGCTCCTGTGATTTTTTTTATTAAAAGAATATTCTCGGGTAGTCACTTCTCCAAGGAAAGTAAAACAGACCTGGAGAAGACCCGAGCTCAACCAGTATCTTGGAGTCAGGTCCATCCAGTCAAGCTTAGCAGAGCCAGAGAGCCTATTTACAAATCCTTGAGTGAGAAAAACAATGATTTGTTAATAAGCTAGTTAGATTCCTGTTATGTAGCAAATTGTGACATACTCTTCCTTGGGATTAAGATGGGTGTAGTAGTAATGGTAATGTGTTGCTTAGAAAAATAATTTTTCACTCCAATATTTTCGGTGTCACAATTGGTTACACATCACTGCAATTTCATATTTTTCTTCTAATAAGGAAGAATAAATCTTAAAAATATTAGGTCAAAATTTTATAGCTAGAAGAGACCTTACAGTTTATATAAACTCAAATATTCTGTGACTCTGATAAAGTAAATCAAATAGCCCAAAGTCATACTCTTATTTTAGGACACTTTATGCTAGAAATCAACACCAGGAATGAGATTTATTTTTTTCTTTATTGAAAAAAATCTCATTTTTCTTCTCTCAAAAACTTTGTTGACTTCAAAGATAAAAACTCACCTCTTTTTATTTCAATATATGTATTTTTTAAAATAAAAGTTATAAGTCATGTAACTTCTGTCAAATGATTTATCTCTTAGTTAAAAATTTCCCATGAAATATCTCTAACAGAATAATATCCTTTGTGTATTTCAAAGGCCAGGTGGAAATAGTCTTACCAACAACAATAGTAAATTGAAATGGAAAAATTACTGTTAGATAAAGAAACTTACAAGTTCTTGGAAATCACAACAATTTTACCATAATTGTATTATATTATATAATTACTTTATTTTACTTATATAAATAATTAAGTTTTTTTACTTACATAAATAATAAATAAGTAAGTAAAAAAATTATTATTATACTTATATGAATAAGAGTTAAGTTTCTATGACATATCTCCAGTCACAAAAAAATAATGAATCATTTTTCTTTAGACCAAAATGCTTCTAATGTTAAACATTGAAATCAATGTGAGCTATACATACATTCTTTAAAGACTTGTAAAAAAAAGTAAGAAAATTATTTGCCTAGTTATTCCATTTCAGGGTCATGGGTGGCCTGAGCCTGTCCTGGCAGCTCAGGAGTAAGGTGGGAATCAGCCGTCCCATGTCGGGGTGCACTCACATATGCCCTGACATTCACTCAGACGGGGGCCAATTAGACAACCAGTTCACCCAACGTGCACTGTTTTGGGATGTCGGAGGAGACCAGAGTACCCAGAGAAAACCCATGCAGACATGGGGAAAACATGCAATCTCCAAAAAGACAGTGACCTCATCTGAGAATGAGTTTTTTCCTCATCAATGTTATAATGAAATGTCACTGAAGGAAACAAAGTTATCTGAGGATCTGCTGTATATCCAAATTCCAAGCTCATAAAATTTCCTAGTAATAAGGATGGTCTAAAAGAACTGGAGAAATGGAGCACTTTTGTGCCCTACCCAAGTCCCTCTTATCAGCTTTAGTTTTGCATCCTGTTATTGATGTTATCCATCATAAAAAATATAAAAAAGGACACAATCTCAGCCCAAAATTTGATTTCTGTGAAGGCGGAAGGGAGAAGCATTTAGATTGAGGGCTGACATTACTGCAGCAAAGCTCTCACAGCTGTTGGTAATGAGGAATGACCTCCAAGGACCAGATCCTTATTTAAAGGTTAATTTAAAAAACTTTCTGATAAATAAAATTCTGAAATTGATACTAGTTAAGGCAGTCACCAAAACTGTAATGAAAGAACTGCTAAATGTATTAAGATAACTATATTTCCAGAAATAATCCAAAGAGCTGGTGGCTGTTATCCTAAGGTAATTCCTGAGATTTTGTAAAGCTGACTGACTGTAATGGACTATTAACTTTCTCCTACAAAGTTCTCCTAAAGTCCCTGGTCTCAGGAACTGCCATGGAGTTTTTGGACAAAGAGATCCTCTCTGCCAAGTACAATCATGATCAGTCAGATGTGCTGTCCAAGGATTCCACTCCATTGCCAATGAGGCATCTGTGTTCTTGTCTCTGATGTTAACATAGACTGGCTTGGTGTATATTTTTTGGCACTTGTCAATTATTTTTAAAGTTAAGAGTGAAGTTTTTTTTATTGTTAATTTCCTTCACCATTTTCCTTCACCATTGTATATTTGGTTTGTTTAGCTTGGAAGATAAGGATCAAGAGAAAGTACATCAGATATTGAAAGAGAAAAACAGTGTCAGCTAGAGATCCTAAAATGTAGGGAGTAATAGTTCTTGACATTTGTTGTGCCAAGCCCCTATTAATCTCAATAGAAAAGGTATCAGATTCAAGAAGCCAAAGAAGAGACCCGGAGACAACTCATGAGACATGGGGGTTTTATTAGGGGCTTACATACAGAAGAGGGAGTCCAGGGGCTGCAGGCTGGACAGGAGAACTTCATTACATATAGAAACTGTCCAGTGGCAGTAAGGTAGACAACATATCCACCTTGCTACAGTCCAATGGCAGTGGGCTGGGCAACATAATTGCATAAGCCAGTGGAGGCAGGCTAGGCCCTGAAACCACAACTACTTGCAAACAGCATGCAGTTTATATAGCATTTCACTTAACACTCTCCCCTTAATTGCCATCACCTGGCAACCTTCATTTAACCCATCACTCAGGGCCTCCAGCCCCTGTATGGCCCATGTTTCACTTGACAGGGCAGGAGACACAGATGTTCTTCGTAGACAAGGTAAGAAATCTCCTGGTTGGTCATGCCTAGATTCTCTAGCTCAGAACGCACATCAGATGTGTGTGTCATACAGGGTCATATTCAGGATATGATTAAGTTTTTGGTATCAGGTATATTTACCCTACAACATCGCTTTGAATTACCCAGCTGGATGTGAATTTTGCTGTCTCCTGTTGGGAAATTTGTTAGTATATTTGCATGTGTATACCCAATTAATTTATATTAAGAGAGGGAAACTTTGAAACTGCAGATATGGAAACAAGCTTGTGTGTGAAATGTGCACATACGTATCCCCATGCCTGGCAACCAAAGTGTGTGTGGGAGAGGGAGAAGGGAGGGCTAGTACTTAATATAAGTCAGCAGGCTTGACATACTCACAATGATTGTCCCGAAGGCCAATATCTGTGCAATCATTTACCTTTCTCCTTCCCCACCCACTTTTGTTTTGATATAAGTCATAATTTCTGCTAATATGGTAGATGCTCAATGCATACTTGATGACTGACTCAATAGTCCTATTTCCTTTGCCTGTCATGTCTTTGCAACACTGATTTCTCATTTGCAGACTTTCTTTCTAGAGTGTTGAAGCTTGTGCTTTCAACACTCTAGAAAGATCTCTGTGACTTTCAAAAATAAACATAATTGCTTGATTTTTCTTGCACCCCATACATATTGTTATCAAAAAGAATGCCTGATTAATGGTTAAATTATTATTTATAGGTTGGATTCTTGTTTAGTATAAATGTCTTAAAGGCAAAGTCTATATTATCATCTTGTATTTCAGTCGACATAAAATCTGGTATAAAAGAAACTCATAAATATCTGTCATATTATTGAACAAATGTCTATATTTCCTAAAGCAAAGTGTTTGCCTCCTCCAAACAAGACAAATATATACAGATATAAAAATAATCTATCAAAATTAATTCCATTGCATTTTAACAGAAGTCATGCATTTGCACTGATATTAGTGCTAGTCTAAGAAATAAAATTATTTCATTTTATAGATTTCTATATAGATATACAATGTGTGGTAATTTAAGATAAACAAACATAAAATTATTAAATATGTAGCTATTTATATTCAGTGTACTGATTCATTTCAATGTTGCAGTTCACCTAAATTTACTAGCTTGGAGGACTTATTTCAAGAATTAAATACTCTGGGGAAATTGTTTTGTAAAGTATAGATAAGTTTTTACTAAATATTAATTACTTTTGTTTTTTTCCAAATGTAAGAAAGTTGAAAAATTTAGAGGTATACAATTACAAGAAAATTAAATGAATACAATGAAAATATCACTCAAAAACCTTTATTATTTAGTAGTAGTCCTGATTTTAAATTTAGAAAAAAAAACAACCTTAACTACTTTGAAGTCTGTTTGCAACAAATTAAATCCTCTGCCATGAATAAAATTTTAACTAGTCTGACCCATGTCAACAGCTCCATTGCTTCTATTATTATTTCTTTATAGAAACATAGTCTCTTTATTCATTTTTCAGTGTGAAGGTATTAGCTATTAAAAATATATGTGAATTTGATACATTTTTATTAGAAATAGCAAATCATTCTTAGGCACATCCAGGGGAGAGCTGGTGTTTCTATACACCAATAATAAGCTAGCTGAGAAAGAAATCAAGAAGGCAATCCCTTTTACAATAACAACAAACCACTGATGAAATAAATTAAAGAGGACACAAACAAATGGAAATATGCCCCATCCTCATAAGTTGAAAGAATTAATATCATTAAAATAGCCATTTTATACAAAACAATCATCTACACATTCAGTGCAATCTCTATGAAAATACCAAGGGCATCTTTTCTTAGAAGAAAACAATACGAAAATTTACATGAAATCTAAAAAGAGTGCAAATAACCAAAGCAATCCTGAGCAAAAGAAATACAGTTGGAAGCCCGGGCACAATGGCTCACACCTGTAATCCCAGCACTTTGGGAGGCCGAGGCAGGCAGATCACAAGGTCAGGAGATCAAGACCATCCTGGCCAACATGGTGAAACCCAGTCTCTACTAAAGATACAGAAGAATTAGCTAGGCATGGTGGCACGTGCCTGTAGTCTCAGCTACTCAGGAGGCTGTGGCAGGAGAATTGCTTGAACCCAGGAGGTAGAGGTTGCAGTGAGCTGAGAGCATGCCACTGCACTCCAGCCTGGTAACAGAGTGGGACTACATCACAAAAAAAAAGAAAAAAAGGAGAGAAAGAAAGAAAGAAATAGAGCTAGCGACATCACACCACCTGACTTCAAAATACATTACAAGGGTATAGTAACCAAAACAGCACAGTGTTGGTATAAAAACAGACACATAAACCAATGGCACAGAATAGAGATTCCAGAAATAAATCTATGTATTTACAGTCAACTTATTTAGAATAAGGTGCCAAACTAAGGACAGCCTCTTCAATAAATAGTGCTAGGAAAATTGTTTATTCATATACAGAAGAATGAAATTGGACACCTATCTCTCTCCATAAACAGAAATCAACTAAAGATTAATTAAAGACTGAAATGTGAGACCCCAAACTATAAAACTTCTAGAAAAAAAAAAAAAAATAGGGAAAATAATTCAAGACACTGGTCTAGGCAAATATGTCGTGGCTCAGACCTCAGAAGCACAAACAATTATAACAAAAATAGACTAGTGGGATTATATTAAACTAAAAAACTTCTATGTAGCAAAGGAAAAAATCAACAGAGTGAAGAGACAGCCTGTTTAATGAGAGAAAATGGTTGCATGCTATTTATCCAACATAGGACTAATCTCCATAATATACAAGAAATCAACAATTACACAACAACAAAAATAACAATCGTATTAAAAACTGGGCTAAGAGCATGAATAGATATTTTTCAAAATAAGACAGATAAATGGCCAAGAAGTATTTGAAAAAATGTTCAGCATCGTTAAGCACCAGGGAAATGCATATCAAAACCACAATGGCATATCATCTTATCCTGGATAGAATGGCAATTGATAAAACAACAACAACAACAAAATAACAAATGGTAGGGATGATGGGGAGAAAAAAACAGAACCTTGTTTGTGGGAATGTAAATTGGCATAATCCCTGTGGGAAGCCATATGGAGATTCCTCAAAATTTGTAAGTACAGCTACCAGATGACCCTTCAATCCCTCTACTGAGTATTTTTCCAAAGAAAAAGAAATCTGTATATCAAATAGATAATTTCACTTGCCTTTTTATCACAACGCTATTTACAATAGCAAAGATAGTATCAACCTAAGTGCCAACTGATAACTTAATGAAAGAAAATGTGGTATATATACACACTGTAATACTACTTGGCAATTAAAAGAAAAAGAATGAACTTATGGCATTTGCAGCAACATCAATGGAATTCGAGGTAATTACATTAAGTGAAATAAGCCAGGCACAGAAAGACAGACGCTGCACGTTCTCAGTTATATGTGGAAGTTAAAAACCCTGATGGCATGGAGACAGAATAAAATGTTAGATACCAGAGTCATAGAAGGATGTGTGGGTGGGAGGAGGGTATAAAGAGAGCTTGGTTTGTGGGTAAAAACATATAGTTACATAGAACGAATAAGCCCTGATATTAAATAGAAGAGTAGGGTGACTGTAGCTAGCAATGATGTATTGTATATTTCAATGTAGCTAAAAGAGAGAACTTGGAATAATACGAACAAACGGAAATGACAAATACTCAAGGTGATAGATACCACAAATACCCTGACCTGATCATTACACATTATATTCATGTAACAAATACTCACATGTTCTCTCTAATATGCAAAACATTTTGTTTCAATAAAAATTATAAAGTTCCTTCTGAGTGATAAAATACTATTTTTTCATATTATTTGCCATGCTCTTCACTCATTAAGGTATTATTTGCTTGATATTAATAACATGTTAACAGAAACCATTGAGGAGATAACTAGTTGTAAAGATAATAGTAAAAATGGTAATCTCTTGGACAATAATCAATGTATATTTATATGCTATTCCATACATAAAAAGACAATATTATAGGTCCAACTCAGTATATGATGTCAAATTTGCCAGAGAGCAAAGGGTAATAATATTTCTTGATTTGTCATTTGATAATAAATAACAATGTATTTCTTATTGAAATATCATAAATTATTTTTAAATAATCACATTGTATTTTGGTTTACTAAAAAGACAAGATAAAGCAACAGATTATTATTAAAAATATATGGACATGATATATTTTTAGTCTCTATTGTTTTTTCTCTCCCTTTGAATTATAGTTTTGAAAGAATTTTCAGCTGGGCATAATGATTTATAAGGAAATTATTGTTTTATAATCTAGTATACTAGGAATATTAGTAATTTATTAGATACAATTGAACTATCTTATTGTCATTATACAAGTTTTTAATGTTTAAACATTTTTAATAAAATAATGTTAAACATTATGGGAATTCAAATTTTATTCTTGATTTTTCTTGTAATTGGACTTCTATTCTAATTGGAATCATTTTGCAGTATCAGAACAAAGTCCTAAGGGCCTATTTCACTACATACTTACGCATAGTGATGAATAATTAAAATTGTTCACTTTATTACGGTTTTTATGAAGAGCAAGGGCATTAAATGACCTATTGAACTTAGAATTCTCATTTGCTTAGGATAACAGTATTGTTACATATATGAAACCCATTTAAGATAGTGGCAAAGATGTGTGAATCTTCATATTTGATTATTTTGTAAATAAATATAAAAACACTGAGTCTATCAGACTCATCTGTTAAAGTTACAGATAAGTATGTTTTGTACATGTATATATGTGTGTATTTGTATATCCTTGGGTTGTTTATGTGAACATACAACATTGGGAAATTATTTTTAAAATAATTAATAAAATAATTTTTGAAATAATTCTATAAATAATGAATTGGCCCCTAATTTAATCATTGTGGATACCTATAAATATATTTGAACAATTGTATTGTTATAAGTACTTTACAACAATAATTCCTTCAGAATGTCACAAGGAATAAACACTATTTTTGTTTACATTTTAGTTATTTATTTTAATGCACATAAAACAAAATTTAGAATTCAAAATCTTATTTACTAATATCATTTTCCTAATATCATTTGATTTATATTTTTACAGACTGACACAAATTCAGTAGAAACTCTACTTTGAGTACCCTTACAACTATTCTGTTTTTTTGTCTCCAGTACAGTATTTGATAAATTATATGAGACATTCAATGCTTCATTTAAAATAGGCTTTGAGTTAGATAATTTTGCCCAATTATAGGTTACAGTGAGTGTTTTGAGCATGTTTGAGGTAGACTAGGCAAATTTATGATGTTCAGTAGGTTAAATGTATTAAATCTATTTTCAACTTGGGATTGGTTTATATGGGAACATAATTTGAGAAGCATCTGTATTTTTTTAATTTCAAAGTCTCCTTTTGTTTCTAGCCTATGATCACCTATTTATATTTTCTAGAAATAACCAGTATAATCAGAGATCAAACGCCATGTCTTGAGTTAAATGTACTTATATGGACTGGAGTAGAAATTACCAAACTCTATTCATAATTAATATAATGGTAGCTAACTTTGCTTATTTCACCTTGTGGATCATTCACTCTGTAAAGCACTTTAGGAAACCCTTTCTTATTCAGTCCTAACAAACAATTTTATGTGGTAAATAATTTCAATCCAGAGCTTAGGAAACTCAGCACAAGAGTGTTCAATTAACTCTGATTATACAGGTCTTGTAGCCAAGAAGTGAAGAGTTCATGTCTGAATCTAGTCAGAATCAATTCAGAGACCATGTTCTTAGCACTGTAATATACTCCCTCCTCTAGGGTGTAGTGATTAAAAGGAGAAGTTGAAAAATAAGAGATATTAAAGAATTACTCTCTGTTTGCCATTTATTTAATGCGAATGCATTTAGATGTATTGGGAAAAATAATACATAAGAAATCAAACTTAGAAAACTGACCAAAAATTAAATGGGGATTTAGAAAGTTGTGCTAAGAATTAAGAAACAGTACAGTATTTTCCACAACCTCCTATAATATTAACTCTCCTTCTCACATCTACCCATGTGAATAAGAATGCGCAAATGAGAGTTTTTAAAAGATAATGCTCCCTTCCTAAATGCACAGCAATATGTTCAGGTATGTCAAGAGAGCCAGCCACAACTTGCAGATCTACAAAGCCATGGGTGGAATCTACAAGAACAAGAGAATACCTAGCACATGATGGGAGAGTAAAAAGAGGATTTAAAATATGATGGTCTTGTTAGTACTGTGTATGTATAGTAATTTGAAAAAATATTAAGTAAAATGATAGTACCTTCACTATATGTAAGAGACTATCACTAAAATTTGTAAAATATTATGTAATGATTTAATGTGCTTATTATATAATTTTAAGGAATTATTACTTTTCATATTGATAGAGTAAGTAGGACAGTACTTTTCTTCCATTATAAACAATGAGACAATTGGACAAAATATATGAGGCAGCTGCTTTCAGACATTGGACTATAGGCACTACAGGTTTATTGTCACTAAGTGAAGGGAAACAAATGAAGTGAGCTCTATAATGACCTTGGCTTTTTGCCTAGAGGCTTTTTTGGGACCATGATGAGGCACCCAAGCATGATGAGTAACTCAAGCAGAGCACAACGTGTTTCTCAGTTGAGTTATACAAGTTTGAAGAGGTGGAAATGACATTTGCAGACAGAGTGTGATCGTGAGTGGATCTTTTCAGGAAACTTACCAAGAAACCTCCATAGTGATCACTTTAAGTCTTTTGAGGAATATAAAGCCATGATTACATAGGATGAACGCTCATGAAACCAGGTACTTGTAACCTCATAAGTTCCTTCTGACCAACCAGAGTCAAATTCCTCATGGCATCTGGGGCATTCAGGAGAAACAGCAGTAGTAGTAGTAGTGGTTGTGGTGATAGTAGTAGTAATAATATTTGTAAACTAACCTGTGAATAAGGGGTACACAACCCACCTTAATAAGACTTTTACAGAATCGTTGAAAGGTTTAAGCTAATCTTCAAAAAATTTAGTGGTTAGTAAGGACAACATCTAACAAACACTAAAGGAGTATAACAAAATCCAGTCTTATCAACATAAAATTTATAATGCACAGCATCCAACCGAAATTTATTATACATGGAAAGACACAGGGATGTGTAATTCCAAACCAGTAATCAATAGAAATAAACTCAGTAATGACAGGTATAATGAATTCAGTATGCAAAAACATAAGAACGTATATTTCAACTCAGTGAGATATTGAATGAAAAAATAACATAATGAGGAAAGGTAAAAAATGTAGAAAGAACCAAATGAAACATTTTGAAGTTAAAAATATCTCCTAGGCTGGGCACAGTGGCTCACGCCTGTAATGCCAGCACTTTGGGAGCCCGAGGCGGGTGGATCATGAGGTCAAGAGATCGAGACCATCCAGGCCAACATGGTGAAACCCCGTCTCTACCAAAAATACAAAAATTTGCTGAGTGTGGTGGCTTGCACCTATAGTCCCAGCTACTTGGGAGGCTGAGGCAGGAGAATCACTTGAACCCGGGAGGTGGAGGTTGTACTGTACTCCAGCCTGGCAACAGTGCGAGACTCTGTCTGAAAACACAAACAAACAAACAACCAAAAAAAAAAAAAACTCCTAAATGAAAAATTCCTTGCATAGTATTAGTAGCAGAGAATACACTGCAGAAGGGGAAAATGAACTTAAATACATAATATCTTACTCTGTGTTGCTAATAAAGAAATATGTGATGCTTGGCCATTTGTAATGGAAAGAGATTTATTTGGTTCATGGTTCTGCAGGTTGCACAAGAAGCATGGTGCTGGCGTCTGCTTCTAGTGAGGGCTTCCGGCTGCTTCCAGTCATGGCAGCAGGCAAAGAGAAACCAGCATGTACAGAAATCACATGGTAAGAGAGAAAGCAAGAGAGAGGGTGTAGGAGGTGCTGGACGCTTTCAACAATCAATTCTTTGGGGAGGTAAGAGTGAGAACTCATTCACTCCTGTGAGAACGGCACCAAGCCACTTGAGGGATTTGCCTCTACCACCCAAGCACCTTTCACCAGGCCTCACCTCCAACACTGGGGATCCAATGTCAACTTGAGATTTGGTAGGGCAAACAAATCATAACCAAACAGTAGTACATGACAATAGAAACTGGAAGATAGAAGCATAGAATAAAAGAAGACAAAAAATGAGCAGAATTTTGGCTACTTGAGAAACTTTTATATCTTCTGCTTTTGGTCTAAGATTGCCATTAAAAATTACCGCAAATTTGATGGCCTAAAACAGCAGAATTGTATTCTCGTATAGTTCTGGAATTAGACAATCTGAAATCAAGATGTTGGCAACATTGGTTTCCTCTGAAGTCTCTGAGGGAAGATTTACTTGATTCCTTTCTCCTAGGTTCTGGAGACTGCTGGCAATTCTTGGTGTCCCTTGGCTTGTAGATGCATCACTCCAATCTCTGTCTCTGTCTTCACATGCCACCCCGCCTCTGTGTGTCTCTCTGTCTTCTCCCCTCTTCTAAGGACACTGCTAATTGGTTTTAGGGAATAACCTACATTTAATATGATCTCATCTTGAGATCCTTAATTACATTTTCAAATATCTTTATTCCAAACAAGGTAGTATTGGAAGTTCCAGGAAAACATGTTTCAGAGGCTGAAATTCAATCCACAAAACCATGTACTTAGAGTCCCAGATAAAGGAAGATAGGAGGGAAAATGCAAAACAATATCTGAAGCATAATATGCCTCAAAATTTTACAGCTGATAACTTTAAAACCACATAACCAAGTGGCTCAATAAACCCCACATAGAATAAACAAAAGGGAAATTTTCCACAGGCACATAGTAATCAAATTACAGAAACAAATGACAAAAATGCCTCAAAATCTGCTAAATGTATGTATGGTGGAAAACAAAAAATTGATGTGTTTAAAGTAACTCAAGAAAGAAACAAACAAACATTATTAACTTAGAATTAATTGTCTGATGGAAAATATTTCTTAACTATATTGGCAAAATACAATTTTATGAAGAAAAAACAAATCTGGGAGATTTCATTCCAAATTTTCATGCAGTACAATGCTAAAAGATATTCTTCAGGAAGATGCCTACATGTATCTGATCTGCTCAAAGCAATGCACAATGCAAGAAACTGATTTCTAAGTGAGTAAATATATAATTTTTATAGTGCTTAATTTTTTAATGTGTATTTTATTTCCACAACTAAATTTTGCATTATATTGGGATATTTTCTTACACACTTATATTCATTTTGATATCATTTTCTTGAAATTTCATCTTATTGCTTTTCCATATTAGTTTTTTCTCTCTTGAGTCTTTCCTGGGAAGCAAATGTCAATTTCTAGAACTATGAATTTGGGGATCAGTTTTTTCATTTCTGCAAAAGTGAACAACTTTTTTCCTGAAAAAGATAAGCAAATTTGGAGGACTCAGATTTATTTATCTCAAAACTTACTACAATGCTACAGTAATCAATACGGTGTGGTATTGGGATGATAATAGACATATAGAACAATGGAATAGAGTTGAGAGTCCAGGAGTAAATTCAAACATCTGTGACCACCTGATTTTTTAGAAGAGTGCCAAGACCATCTAATGGAAAAAGAATGTGTTTTTCAACAAATGATGCTTAGAAAACTGGACAGTCACATGCAAAATAATACAGCTCAATTCCTTCCTGATTCTAAACACAAAGAAACAACACAGTCAAAGTATATTAGTGATTTAAGTAGAATAGATAGAACTATGAAATTATTGCAAGACATTAGTCTTAAATCTTTCTTACCTAGGGTTTTAGAAGGGATTATTAGATTTGTTATCAAAAGCAATAGCAACAAAAGGAAAAGTAGATACATTGGATTTTGTAAACATTTTTTAATAAAAAGTATTTTTCTCTCAAAAGACATCATCATGGAAATGATATCACAACTTTCAGAATTAGAGAAGATATATGTGAATCATATATTTAATAAAGGTTCAGTATCTTAAATGTATAAAGAACTCTTAAAACTCAACAACCAAAGACAAACAACTCAATTTTTAAAAACAGACAAAGGATTTGAATGGACATTTCTCCAAAGAAGATGAACAAAAGCACACAACAAGATATTATATAACAAACACATGAGAAGATCTTCAACATTATTGCTCATTAAAGAAACTCAAATCTAAATTCCAAGAAACTTCATAAACACTATATTTAATAATAATAATAATAACAAGTTACATACAGCAAGGATGTCAAAACCCTTGCACATTGCACATGGGTAGGTAAAATTCTACAGCTGTTGTGGAAACAGTTTGGTAGTTCCTCAAAAAGTGAAACTTAGATTTACAAATCACCCTGCAATTTCCCACTTAGGCATATACTCAGGAGATGTGAAAACATAAATCCACACCGAAACATGTACCCAAATTTTTACAGCAACTTTATTTATAATAGCCAAAAGATAGAATCAACCAAATATCTGTGAATGAATTGACAAACCAATTTGACATATACGTAAAATAAAAGAGTATGCAGCCATAGAAAGGGATGAAATACTGACACACGTCACAACATGAATAAGCCTCAAAAATTACAATAAGTGAATGGAGGCAGATATTAAAGGTCGCATATGGTATAATTATGTTTATATTGAATATCTAAAATAGGCAAATCCATACAGATAAACAGCAAATTAATGGTTGCCAGAGAGTTGGTGTGAGTGTGAGTTTGATGGGTTTGTGTTGGGAAGGATGAGGACTTATTTAATGAACAGGAGGTGTTTTTCTGAGGAGATGAAAATGTTTGAGAACTAGAGAGAGATGGTGAAAGCACAAACAGTGTAAACACACACTAAACGCCACTGAAACTTTGAAATGGTTGTGTGGCATTTAAAGTTCACCTTAGAAAAAAATTCACTTTTAAACCACCACCCAAATGGAACAATATTGACATCTACTTTTTGATTTTATTCTATTTAGACTTTTATAAATATGTTTACATATACGAGGAAAATAAACCTTAACACATAAAGAAATATAAATGAGCTGCGAAGTCACATGAAAACATTGAAGAACCTAAAATGCATTTTGCATAGTCGAAATTGCCAATCTAAAAAGGCCACACTCTGTATGATTCTAACTATATAACATTCTGGAAAAGGCAAATCTGTGGAGGGTGTGAAGATCAGTGGTTTTCTCGGATTAGGTGTTACAGAGGGAAGGGATGAATAGGTGGAAGTATTCTGTATGCAATTGTAATTATGAATACATGTCATTATGTCCATGGAACTATACAACACAAGACACATAGAACTGTCCAACATGGAGAGGGATGCATGATATAAAGTTTACGCTGTGGTTAATAATAATGTGTCAGTATTGGTTCATCAATAGGAAGAAATGTACCTCATCAATAGAATATGTTAATAATAGAGGGAAATCTGTGTGTGTGTGTGTGTGTGTGTGTGTGTGTGTGTGTGTGTGTGTTCTGCACAGGGGTGCATTTATAGAACTCTATGTACTGTCTGCTTAATTAACTATTTGGTCAGGAAAAAACCGACAATGGCAGATCTCTCCCAAACTGAGAGTCTGCCCCACTAAATCTATGTCATGTAGGATAAAGACAGACAAGCTTCCTACAGGTTGGTTAACTTTAAATTTATCATGTAAGATAAAGAAAGACCAGCTTCCTGGAGGTCAGTTAACTTTAACCTTTAAAGGTCAGTAAACTTTATATCTCTCCAATTTGTCCATATTTTTAAACTTTCTCTATTCACAATATTTTTCATAGGCTCCCTATTAATCTCCTATAAATCTCTACTCATTTTTTTTTGAAAAATAGGAGTGTTTCAAAGTGGAGGCAACTACTATGGGGATCTACACAGCATAAAAAGAGAATTTAGAAGAGCTGCTTTATTTTGACTGTTCTTCCTAATATTTATAGATATAAACATATAGAGCCCCATAGGTGTTTTCTCCCTTTTGAGATACTTTTACTTTTAATAAATAAGTAAATAGAGACCAATAAGAAAATAAATGGGGTCTATAAAAATAATATAAAGAAAGTAAAAAACATGACGATTTGGGAATTGGGGAAGGAAATATATTCTACAAATTTGGCATCAACTAACCTTCAGGTAGCATGCCTTCATTTCTCCTGCATGACACAGATTTATGGGGGTGAATTCTGTCAGGTTGGGAGAAGCATGTAGGAAAATAATTTAGCACCCCACCTCAAATGCTACTTAAAATTGTATTCCAGCTGTGTTTTAGATTTGAGTGTAAGCATAAACATTAAAATTTCTAGACAATAACATGTAGAACACATTCATTAGCTTGGAGGTAAGCAAATATTTCTTAAAAGGAAATGAAATGTACTAAATAGTGATGGAAATATAATATTTTATTAATGGAGTCTTCAGAATATTTTTATTAATAGGCTCTTCAAAAGAGAATTTAAGAATAAGCCATTGGATAGGAAAAGACCATTGTAATATTTATTTTCATTAAACTGTCATATAGTGAGGATATAAATAACTTTTACAAATCAATGAAAAGAGACAACCTGATTTTTTTTAAATGGGCAAAATCTTGAATTGGCAATTTCAAAAAGAGCAATTTCTAGGTGACCAATATAGTGATGAAGTGTTCAACCTTATTTGTCATGCGGAACATAAAATTAGTTTCCACAATAACACATCTTCATAGAATACTAGCATTTACTAAAAAGCAAAAGGGAGAGAACACCCAGGGTTTGCAATGTTGTGAAGCTATTGAAAATTTTACTCATTGCTGGTAATATTGTAAATTTATACAACTACATTGGAAAGCAATTGGCAGGATTTAAGTATTGAACAAAAAAATATCTGTGAATCACCAGTGCCACCCCAAGATGAATAATATACGCAAATGTAATCATAAGTTCACCCAAATACATGGATAAGAATGTTCACATCATATTTTAGTATTAGCCCCAAACTGGGAGCAATGAAAACCAATAATGACACCAATAAATCATAAACTTTTTAAGTAAGTGGTGGTACATTCATTTAATAAAATACCATATTATGTCAATGAAAAGAATGAACAGCTTCATCCAACCACAGAGATGAATATCACAAATATAATATAGAGCAAATGCAGGCAGAAAGTAAAGGTGTCATACTGCATAATTCTATGTGTATAAACTTCAAAAATTAAAAAATGTACTTTATAATAACAAAAATCAAAATAATAGTTAACTTTGGGGAAGAGAAAATGTTAGATGGGAGCACAAGGAGGGCTTCTAAAGTGTTCTTAATGTCCTGTTTTCTGATGAGAGAGGAGTTTAAATAGATGCATTCATTTTGTGAATATTCATCAAGTTGTACGCGTGTGATGTGTCCACCTTCCCTATGTATTTTATGCTTTATTTAAAATGTTAAAAAAATTTATAGATGTCAGAAAAAGTTGAATTTCATTGAATATAAGGATATACAATTTTGACTGTTTTTAGTTATACTTTTTGAATAAAAATAAATGAGTAATTTTTTTTTTTTTTTTTTTTTTTTTTTGAGACGGAGTCTCGCTGTGTCATCCAGGCTGGAGTGCAGTGCAGTGGCGCGATCTCGGCTCACTGCAAGCTCTGCCTCCTGTGTTCACGCCATTCTCCTGCCTCAGCCTCCCGAGTAGCTGGGACTACAGGCGCCCGCCACCATGCCCAGCTAATTTTTTGTATTTTTAGTAGAGACGGGGTTTCACCGTGTTAGCCAGGATGGTCTCGATCTCCTGACCTCGTGATCTGCCCGCCTTGGCCTCCCAAAGTGCTGGGATTACAGGTGTGAGCCACCGCGCCCGGCCAAATGAGTAAATTTTCTATGTTATACCTATGTAAAATAAAATAAAGGAGAGATAACAATTCATCATTTAATTTTTGACAAAATAAAATTTAATCCTTTTACAGTTAGTAAGAAAATTTATATCAAATATTAAATAGAATACAAAAGATATATTTTCTTGTAAAATAGCTATAGGATGTTATAACGAAATGTTAAAAGGCTCAGTTTTATATTAGTAAGAAATGTAAACAATTATGGAATAATAAACACAGAATTCTTGTTTGTTTGTTTTGGGTTTTCTTTTGTTTCTTTCAGACAGAACAGCTTGTTTCTTTCATAAGAAGCCCAACTGTGGTTTTGTAAAAGGTCAGTTCTCTTTCTTGTTCTAATACAAATTATGTAATCCTAAACAAAGCAATTACATTTTTGAAATTACTGTAGTTTTCTTAATTTTGCATTGACAATTTATTAATTAAAATACCAAATACAATTCTAAATAAAAGATTAGCCAAAACAATTTCATAAGCAGATGTTCATCCTTAATGAAACAAAAAAATTCAAATAAAACAAACGTGGGGGAATAAAACAAAATATATATAAAAGTTTGATGAATAATAATTAGTATAAAAGTAAATTTTTTGGAAAATGTTTCTTAAAAAATGATTGTCTTTTTAATTAGTTAAAATATCCATGAATTATTTTGAATTTTTACCATAGTAGGAGAGTTTTTATCATAAATCCTATACTTTTTTGCCCTTTGTATAGATATGAAAATTTTCTCATAAAAAGCAGATAGATAGATAAGTTATATCAATTCTATTAATAGATAACTTGGAATGAATGTAATTTTTTTTACAATTCTTTGCAGTAAAATTACATTGTATTCCATAAATGACGAAATGTCCTAACGTCTTTCTCCTTCTCTTTCTGTAGCCATATATGTAAATCATTGTTTTATATATACATAAAAACTTATATTCCTATAAATCTCAGATAGATATATAGATATACAAAGAAAGAGAAAGGCAGATAAACATACATATGTTTATCTATATACTTTTGATAAAAATTAAAAGAATTCCTTCTTTAAATTGAAAAATATTTGGGCCAGGCATAGTGGCTCACACCTTAATCCCAGCAGTTTAGATGGCCGAAGTGGGCAGATCACCTGAGCCCAGGAGGTTGAGACCAGCCTGGGCAAAATGGCATAACTTGTCTCTACTAAAAATACAAAAACTTAGCTGGGTGCGGTGTTGTGCGCCTATGGTCCCACCTATTTGTGAGGCTGAGGCAGGAGAATCGCTTCAACCCACGAGGCTAAAGTTGCAGTGAGCTGAGATCTCGCCACTGTATTCCAGTGTGAGTGACAGAGCAAGACCCTGTCTCAAAAAAATTTAAAAAATAAAGAAGAAAATTTCAGGGTCACTGGAAAGCATCTTGATTGCAAATGATTAAATATATATTCTTTAGAGATATTTGCTTTATTTATGGGGAGCATTTTAGAAATTTTATTAATATTTAACACATGACGACTAATTGCACCCATTTTTATGTTTGTTTTTTATGTAAAGGCATATGGCATATGTTTAACCAGATTTACTCGGAGCAGGTTAAGAAAATAATGGCAATGTTTGTCTTATTACTTCATTGCCAATACAATATTTTAATAAATATCCTACCATCTGCATATAACACATTGATCTGAAAACTTTGAAAGGACCTTTTATTTATTAAAAATATTTTGCTATATAACCTAATTACCAAGCCTGATTTTTTTTAGAAAAAGTAATCAGAAACAAAACCAGAATTAAAATAAATATGTAAATAGCTAATTTGATCATGTTTAAAAAGATATAAAACCCAGAAAGCTAAATTTAGCATAAAACCTATAAGATACATTAATCAAATTAGTAAATTCAGAGTTAAATCAACCTAGATCTAAACAGTTAATATTTTGTTTAATATGTTATTAAAAGAAGATAATAAATCAACATTTAATTGTCATTATTTTCTAAACAGAAAATGTAATATGTAGCTAAAATTGCAAGGTATTTATGAAGTTCGGAGTATGAAAACTTTAAATTCCTTGTATATATATATATGTGTGTGTGTATATACGTGTATGTGTATATATATGCATATGTAATTATATATATAGGTGTATTTGTGTGTATGTAAGTATGGAACTATATGAATGGATTTGGAGAATAAATAAATAGGGAACAAATATAATGGTGTAGACTATATGCATATATAGATATACTTATACAAGTATTTTGTATTTTTTATATGTATAAACTAAGAAAATGTTTCAAACTATCTAAGAAAATGTTTAAAAGTTAATGGAAGGGAAAATTTTAGACTCTTTTCATGTTTGAATGGACACACATGGATACACACACATACATATATTTCTGGTCTTAACATTTGATTGAGGAATTAAATTTCAGTTTGAAATAGTTAACATTTGATTGAGGACATTGAGTTTTAGTTTGAAATGCTTGTTCTTAGAATACTGAAGACATTTTCCTACCAAACTCCAGCTTCTAAAATACTTTATTGAAACCTAGGGATTCTCCATGCCCACACTAACCTAATACAAATATATATTTTAAATTGTCTGGTCATTATTATGCTAAGTAAAATAAGCCAGACATGGAAAAATAAAAGCCACATGATCTCACCTACTTGTATAATCTAAAAGAGTAGAACTTATAATAGAGTAGAATGAGGGTTACATGGACTTAGGGGAGTAAAAGGAGGGTAAAGACTTGTTGGTCAAAGGGTACAATTTTTCAGTAGACAGGAAAAATAAGTTTTTGAGATTTATTCCACTGCAGGGTAACTATAGTCAGTAACAGTGTATTGTATATTTCAAAATTGCTAAGAAGGTAAGTTTCAAATGTCTCACCACCACAAAAAATTATGAGTAAGTAAAGTTATAAATATATTAATTTACTTGATTTAATTATTTCACATTATATACATATATCACAACATCACATTGTACCCATCAATGTATTCAAGTATGATTTATCAGTTAAAAATAATATTAACAAAATTGTCTAGCCATTTAGGTTTTTTTCCGTTTATTACAAAAATTATGTAATTTAGATCAGCAGTCCCAACCATTTTGGCATAAGGTACCGGTTTTGTGGAAGACAATTTTTCCACGGATGGGAATGGAGGGAGGGGAGATGGTTGCAGGATGAAACTGTTCCATCTCAAATCATCAGCCATTAGTGCCTGGGTGGTAATGCTAACTCACCCACAGCTCACCACCTGCTGTGTGGCCCTGTTCCTAACAGAGCACAGACTGATACCGATCCATGGCCCAGGAATTAGGGGCACCTGTTAGATGATATTCAGATATTATTTTCATTTTAGTTATATGCTTTTACAAACTTTTTAGTTTTACTTTGTTAATCCATATTTATCTATGTAATTGCCAAAAATAGGTCTGTTTAAGTGATTAAAAGTCTATTATTTTAAAACTACAATTCTCTGTAATTGCCAGTTGGTCTCATCTTTTCACTTCAGATAAACATGACAGGAATTTTGTGAGCATTCAATTGAAACACATACAAAATAAGCTGCTGTCAACAGTATCAAAAGATATTACTTTTTACATATTTCAATATACTCACAAAGCTATCACTTGATAAATGGTGTTTGTCACTATAAATTCTTTTAGTATATTATACAGGTGTCCAATCTAAATGAAAGTGATAGTTTTACCTTAGCAGAAAATAAAGGAAAGTAGGACATTGCTAGGAAAACAGAAAATCATTATCTTTAGTAAATTTACAATCTATTATTTTGACAATTTATGTTAAATTTAGTTTTACAAAAGTAATTAACTTTAAAAATGTCAAATGGCATTTACAAGCTTCGAAGTTCATTTCTCTCATTGTCATTATTTGAATTTTTCTCTTTCCTGATTTGTAAAAGTTTCAAGCTTTCTTTACCCTAATTTGATCTTTACACATCATGTGCTTGTATCAAAATATCACATGCATGTACTTCATAAATATGAACAGCTATCATGTTTTCATAAGAATTTAAAAATTTTACCCAATTTGTCTTATTTTGGTATTCTGAGATTTTCAATTTGTTCTTTTTTCATTTGCAGTATGAACGTAATTGTCATTTAGGTCCATGTTAAAGTATCAATATAATTTGTCATCTGTGTTTAAGATTACTCATTAAATTTTATAGTACAGGTGATCTGAATATTCCATTAGTCACACAAAAATGTATGTAGGGCTTATGACATAGAATAATTTCCATTTTCTGTCTTGGATAATCCTGTTTGCTTGCAACTGTGTTGTGTCCAACTATCCAACAATGACCTTTTCCCCTTATGCTTAAGAATGGTCTTATTGCATACATCTAGGCAACATAATTCTTGTATTCTGGTAGAGCACTTAATAATGAGCTGATTTTGCTGTCATATGACTTTTTGTTCTGTGTTTATTCCTTATTACCTCCTTCAGGAAATTTTGATATGCTGGGTAGAGCTACAGTAGTTTTTATATAATAAAAATATGAGGACCACAGTCAGGTATGATGGAACATTAGAAAAACCTTAAGAATGTGACTATATCTAGCGAAAGCACAGATTTGTTGAAGTCCATAATTTACTTTACATTCCAGAAAAGCAAACATCTATGTTGGTTATAGTTACTATTTTTTTCTCTTGTTTCTACTACTTCTGTTTGCATTCTGAACAAAAATTAATATTGCATACAGATTTATGTGATTACTCTTGCATATCTTTTTAAAAGAGAGTGATCAATACTATATATTCAATCATTTAGCAAACAAAAATGTATATGTGACTGTGTGTCTGTAGGGTTGTTTGTGTGTGTGTGTGTGTGTGTGTGTGTGTGTGTATGTATTTATGTAAATTACATTGCTGAAGAAGCAGAATATCACAAAGGACTAAGAGTTTCAAGTTGAGACCTGTTCTGGTGCATTCCTGAAACTTTAAAAATATTAAAATTTTAGCTTAGAAACAAATGACAAATTCCATGGTACAAAACCCAAATTAGTTTACTTTGGCTTAGCATATGTAAAGACATTAATGTTTTAAAATGGGGGCACAGAGTTAGTGAGAAAAGTTTTATATGGTAATAAATGATGCTGAGATAAGCAGTAATTGTTCAGAAGTATAACAGGAAGTTGAATTTTACTCTTAACCCATACACAGAAAATAATTCCAGATGAATTAGAAATTTGAATATAATACAGAAGTAAAACTGATAGAGACAGGAGACAGAGAAATTCTAGGCAGACAGGGGCAGGTTCCTGGTGAAGCCCCACCTTTAAGCCAAAAAGCCTGAAACCCGCAGCCCAAAGTAAGAACTTCTATACCTGTTTGCCCACTATCTCCTGATTGGTTCTTTCTGAATATTGTCTTTTTACTAATCGAATGTTGCCTTTTCCAAAACTACCTACAGCCTGCTTGGCCCCCGCATCTGGTGCTTATAAAGACCCCAGACTCAGCTGGTACAGGGGAGAAGAGGCTGGACATCAGGGAGAGGTGACTTGGCTTCAGAGATGATGCCAGATATTAGAGAGAGGCTACTTGACTTCAGAGGAGAAAGGCAGAGAGGTAGCTTGACTTTAGGGGAGAGTGACATGCCTTTCCTGTCGTCTTTCCAGCTACCCTCTCTGCCGAGAGCCACTTTCATTACTTACTAAAATTCTCCACATTCACCATCCTTCAATTCATCTGCATGATCTCATTCTTCTTGGGTACTGGACAAGAATTTGGGATGCAGCAAGTGCAAGTACCCAAAAAGACTGTTACACTGGCCCTTTGCCCTCACTGGCAGAGAGCAGTCACCCCATGTAACGAGGCAAAGATCCACTGAGCTGATAATACATTTCTGTCCGTGGGCAGTGGAGCTAAGATAACATTGTAAAACACTCTCTGGGGCCTTGGGGTCACAGGCACTCCCACCTGGACACTGCTGCTTGGCCTTCACAGAGTTTGCTCCTGCCAGTGCCAAAGCAGCTGGCTAGTTCCCACATTCATTTGCCTACACACTCCCTCCCACAAGGGGTGGGGTACAGTGGACCCGAGTGTTTGCTTCTGCCTACACTGAAGAGGCAGGCTGGTTCCCACACTCGCTCACCTATGCACACCCTCCTGCAAGACGTTGAGCATGGCAGGCAGAGTAAACGGGGCACCCATGTACTGCAAAGGGGTCAAGAAAATATCCTGCATCAAAACTTTAGAAAGGACCACTGAGTATTATTTATTTTTATGGGACAGAGATTTATTTTTCCTTTTAACAAAAAAAAGAAAGAAAGCAAATACCATGAAAGCAAACAAATTATTAATATGGTGACAAACTTCATACATTTTTATATAAAATAAGTCCATATTAACAATATAAAAAGAAAAAATAGAAAAGATATGTTTAATATTTGGTCTCTTGAGATTTGATAACAAATACAAAGGGCACTAGGAAAACAGAAAAGATGAAAACTTATTTTTATTACTTCAGATTCGAGGGTACGTGTGCAGGGGTGTTACATGGATATATTACATAATAGTAAGATCTGGGCTTCCAGAAACAAACAAACAAACAAAGAAACAACATTCTGGGTACCCAGTATACAAATAGTGAACATTGTACCTGATAGGTAATTTTTCAACCCTCAGTCGCTCTTCTACCATCCCTGCTTTTGGAGCCCCCGATGTCTATTATTTCCATCTTTTATGTCCATGTGTATCTATTGTTTAGCTCCCACTTATAAGTGAGAACATGTATTTTATATTCTGTTTTTGAGTTATTTCACTTAGGATAATGCCTCCAGTAACATCTATGTTGCTGCAAAAGGCATGATTAATTAATTTTTTTTATGGCTGCATAGTATCCCATGGTGTCTATACACCACATTTTTAAATCCAATCATCCATTGATGAACATTTAGATAGATTTCAAGACTTTGCTATTGTGAATAGTACTGTGATAAACATATAAGTGCAGGTGTCTTTCTGAAAAAATTATTTCTTTTTCTTTTGGTAGATACCCAGTACTGGAATTTTTAGGTTAAGTGGTAATTCAACTTATAGTTCTTTGTGAAATATCCATACCATTCTCCAAAGAAGTTGTACTAATTTACATTCCCACCAACAGTGTTTCTCCACATCCATGCCAACATCTATTATTTTTTAATTTTAATAATGCCCATTGCTGACTGGCATAAAATATCTCTTTGTGATTTTTTCATTTCTCTGGTTAGTGATGATGAGCATTTTTTTATGTTTGTTGGTCACTTGTGTGTCTTTCTTTTTTTGTAAATGTCTGTGTCCTTTGCCCGATTTTTAATGAGGTTGTTTTTTTTTCTTACTGAGTTTTTGAGTTCCTTGTAGATTCTGAAAAGTTCTTTAGAGAAATAAAACACACTAGTTGGCAATTTTATATATGTGAGTGTGTGTATATATAACACACATATATAATTATATATACATATTTAATATATGCAAATTCATAATTGCATATAATTAGGATATAATCTTTCCAAGAAATGCATAAACATGGTGAACCTTATGCATAATTATAGAATTTGTGTCTGCTTCTTTTTTACACATTTTATTTTCACTGTACTGTTAAGTCTGAATTATAAATTACAGAAGAATTACTCAATTTTACTTGTGTTACACTGACTCCAGTTCCTCAATGATATAATTATTCTTCTCCATTTCCATGGCCATTTTTAACTTGACAATAGTCATCTTTATCTACTTGGATGATTCCTGTACTTAGAATATATCTATTCTAATTTCATACAGGCACTTAGTTGAGAACTAAAATTAGATCTTTTCTACTTTTTTCTTTAATTTAAAAAATCTCTGTTGACAGTTATTTCAATTGTAATATCTTTTCATTTGTGATTTTCATCTATTGCTTTATATTTTTAGAAGTATATCTATGCTTTTCTGGTATTAGAAGGGATATTGGATTATCTCCAATATTCTATAAGTCTCCAAATATTTAAAATCTAGATGAGAAGGAAACACATACTTTTAGATTTATTATGGCTTAAATTTTCAAATAGAAAAACCCATCTACATACTAGGAAGAAAGGCAGGGCTTGAGGCAGTCATGCAGCAGGAATTATAGCTACCCCTACCAGTAATCCCAATGCCTAATATGTTGATAACTAATACTACTATTATTGTTTCCACAGAAACAATAAAATTATCAAGTATTAAGAATTGACTATAAAAATAAATTCGTCTTAACACCCTTAAATCATACATATTTTAATTCTCCTAACCCATTGTTTTTCAACACGGCCTGCACATTAGAATCTTCCAGGAAGCTTTCAGAATACTAGTGCTTGAGACCCATACTAGACAAATAAACTCTGGGAGTAGCATTTTAGAAAATAATGCCTAACTCTGCTACACAACTATGATTACTATCCCCTTGGAAAATGTAGTATTATCCCCATCTTATACTTCAAGATTCTGAGGCCAAAGGAGGATCCTTAAGAGCATAAATGATTGGTGCAAGATGATCACATTTGTAAGCAAGGAATCAGCTCTCACTCACACCTGACTGACTCTGTGGTCAGACTCTTAACCACTAAGCTGTGTTACTTCATGTGTTTTGCAGCAAAGATGATTTAGCTGTATTAACGTCCACCTTCGTCATCTGATGTGATCATCTGTGTAGTTATTTACGTGTCTGTACCAAATTGAGTTTTCCACTCTTGCCTTTGCTACAAAATCAGAATGGAGAGGTCTTTGACACCTGAATTTTCCAGCTCCCTGTTCCTGTCAGATATTTCTTGACTCAGTTCTCACCCTTCCATGTTATGTGGGTATTAGTAATATTGAAAGTAAAATCATTACTTAATATGTGCCATAAAAGCTGAATTACAATCTTCACTTATGTAAGGAGGATCTAGTCTGACCAGGTATTATTTCATTAAGCAGAACAACTCCTAATTGTTTACTACATTTTTGGAAAGCATTAATTTTGAGATTTTCTTAGTCACAAGGCGAGAAAGACAAGAATAAGTTGATGTCAGCCTTACAAGCTGGCTCATTGGCATGCATCTGCCAAGTGACTCATTTTAAAGAAGGACTATCACTGATTTGTTGGCTTTTAGCTCTATGTTTACTAAAGCTAGATATCACTGACAGCTCAGACAACTTTCAAACCAGTTCTGGTATTGAGTTCTTACCATGATAATATGTTGGTCAGTCTTTTATTGAGAGTAAAATACCTTTATATTCTTATTAAAATTAATCTAGGTATTGATACAGTTTGTTTCTGTGTCCCCACCCAAATCTCACCTTGAATTGTAATAATCCCCACACATCATGGGAGGGACCCTGTGGGAAGTAATTGAATCGTGGGGGTGAGTTTATCCTATGCAGTTCTTGTGATAGTGAATAAGTCTCACAAGATCTGATGGTTTTATACAGGGGAGTTCCACTGCACATGCCTTCTTGCCTGCCACCATGTGAGATGTGACTTTGCTTCTCCTTTGCCTTCCGCATGATCATTAGGCCTCTTCAGCCAGGTGGAACTATGATTCCATTAAACTTCTTTCCTTTATAAATTACCCAGTCTCAGGTATGTCTTTATTAGCAGTGTGAGAACAGACTAATACAGTAAACTGGTACCAAGAGTTGGGTGCTACTGTAAAGATACCTGAAAATATGGAAGTGACTTTGGAACTAGGTAACAGGCAGAGGCTGGAACAATTTAGAGGGCTCAGAAGATGACAGGAAAATGTGGGAAAGTTTGAAACTTCCTAGAGACTGGTTGAATGGCTTTGACCAAAATGCTGATAGTGGTATGGACAATGAAATCCAGGTGGAGGTGGTCTCTGATGGAGATGAGGAACTTGTTGGGAACTGGAGCAAAGGTGACACTTGTAATGCTTTAGCAAAGAGATTGGCGATATTTTGCCCCTGCTCCAGAGATTTGTGGAACTTTAAACTTGAAAGAGATGATTTAGGGCATCTGGTGGAAGAAATTTCTTTCTTTCTTTTTTTTTTTTTTTTGAGACGAAGTTTCCCTGTTGTTTCCCAGGCTGGAGTCATGATCTTGGCTCACTGCAACTTCTGCCTCCTGGGTTCAAGCAATTCTCCTGCCACAGCCTCTTGAGTAGCTGGGGTTACAGGCATGTGCCACCATGCCTGGCTAATTTTTTTGTATTTTTTAGTAGAGACAGGGTTTCTCCATGTTGGTCAGTCTGGTCTTGAACTCCCGACTTCAAGTGATCTGCCTGCCTTGGCCTCCCGAAGTGCTGGGATTACAAGCATGAGCTACTGCGCCCGGCCAGTGGAAGAAATTTCTAAGCAGCAAAGCATTCAAGAGGTGATTTGTATACTGTTGAAAGCATTTAGTTTTAGGTATTGACAAATACATGGTTTGGAATGGGAACTTATGTTTAAAAGGCAAGCAGAACATAAAAGTTTTTAAAATTTGCAGCCTGACAATGCGATAGAAAAGAAAAACCCATTTTCGGAGGAAAAATTCAAGCCTTCTGCAGAAATTTGCATAAGTAACGAGGAGCCAAATATTAATCTCCAAGATAATATGAAAGATGTCTCCAGGGCATGTCAGAGACCTTCATGGCAGCCCCACCCATCACAGGCCTGGAAGCCTAAGAGAAAAAATAGTTAGGTGGTCCAAGTCCAGGGCTCCCGTACTCTGTGCAGCCAAGGGACTTTGTGCCCTGCATCCCTGTCTCTCCAGTAATGGCTAAAAAGGGGCCAAAATAGAGCTTGGGCCATAGCTTCAGAGTGTGCAAGCCCCAAGCCTTGGCAGATTCTACCTGGTGTTGAGCCTGCAGGTGCAAAGAAGACAGGAGTTGAGCTTTGGGAACCTCTGCCTAGATTTCACAGGATGTATGGAAACTCATGGATGTCCAGCCAGGAGTTTGCTCCAGGGCTGAGGCCCTCATGGAGAACCTCTGCTTGGGCAGTGTGGAAGGGAAATGTGGGGTCAGAGCCCACACATAGAATCCTCACTGAAGCATTGCCTGGTAGAGCTGTGAGAAGAGGGCCACCATCCTCCTCCAGGCCCCAGAATGGTAGATCCAGCAACAGCTTGCACCATGTGTCTGCAAAAGCCACAGACACTCAACATCAGCCTGTGAAAGCAGCCAGGAAGGGGGCTGTACCCTGCAAAGCCACAGGGTCAGAGCTGCCCAAGACCATGGGAACCCACCTCTTGCATCGGCATAACCTGGATGTGAAATGTGGAGTCAAAGGAGATCATTTTGGAGCTTTATGATTTGGCTGCCCTGCTGGATTTCGGACTTGCATGGGGCCTGTAGCTCCTTTGTTTTGGCCAATTTCACATCATTTGAAATGGATGTATTTACCCAATGCCTGTACCCCCGTTGTCTCTAGGAAGTAAGTAACTTGCTTTTGAATTTACAGACTCATAGAGGGAAGGGACTTGCCTTGTCTCAGAAGAGACTTTGGACTTTGGAATTTTAAGTTAATGCTGAAATGAGTTAAGAGTTTAGGGGACTGTTGGAAAGGCATGATTAGTTTTGAAATGTGAGAACATGAGATTTGGGAGGGGCCAGAGCAGAATGATATGCTTTGGCTCCATATCCCCACCCAAATCTCACCTTGAATTGTAACAATCCCCATGTGTTGTGGGAGGGACCTGATGGGAGGTAATTGAATAATGGGGGTAGGTTTTTTCTTTGCTGTTCTCATGATAGTAAATAAATCTCACGAGATCTGATGGTTTTATCAACAAGAGTTCCCCTGCACATGCCCTCTTGCCTGCCACCAAATAAGATGTTTCTTTGCTTCTCCTTTGCCTTCCTTTGTGATTGTACGGCTTCCTCAGCTGTGTGGAACTGTGAGTCCACTAAACCTCATTCCTTTATGAATTACCCACTCTCAGGTATGTCTTTATTAGCAGCATGAGAACAGACTAATACAGGTATCTTCAATTTAGTGTTAAGTGAATGTAATAGTCTTCCACAGAGCCAATCAATCAGGTCACTTCTATACCTTATGTAGAGAATTTAATCTTTCCTTTATGTTGAAGGTTTCCAATCTCATAAGATTTCACAATAAACTTATAAATATTTAGTAACCATGTCATGAGCCTAAATTTGAAGTTCAGACACGTTCCTTCAGATGTCAGCTCCACCACTTACTAAATAGAAATTGTGTCAGAAATCTGATAATCTCTGAGTATATATGTAATCATCCCTAGCATAAGGATAATGATGGAAGATAATAATGCCAAATGCATACACCTGTGGCGTTAAATCAAATGACATCAATAAAATATTCTAGGGGTTAGTTCTTGATAATTTAACATCTCTGTCACTGTTCTTTATATGCATTATCTTATCTTGTCATCACACCACAGATATTATACAACTACTGTTACCTCAGTTTACATATAAGGGTCCTGTGATGCAGCTAGATCGTAGTATTTGCCCACTATCTCTTGGTTATTAAGGGCTGGGATCCAGCATTTTAAAATAGCTCTAAATTGCCTGGCTATAAACATGTTCTGGCCCACTCCTGATTTTTTAAATTATTTTCCAGTTTTTACTGGTTCTTAGCTTGGTCTTTCTCATTAAAAAATCGGCAAAAATGTATCTTAGTCAACTTATTACCTGGATCTGAGTGACATAATCTCAAATTATGTAGATTTAAGAATCTATTTATTTTCCTGAAAAAGAAAGAATTATGAATGGAAAATAATTGTTTAATTTTTCAGACAGCCTCCTGCCCAGACCTCAACTCTAAATGACATACACTCCCACCTAGGAAATCACATAACCAATTTTTTTTTTTTTTTAATCTGGGCAGTATCTTTGAACACTTCATGAGAATCGTGTAACCTTCAGGTTGGAGATAAGATTGCATTTGCAGTATTTTCTACAAATTATTCAAGCAATACATTATTTTTCCTGATATATAAAGGACTTTGTGGCATCAGCATCCTTCTGCTTAGTGACTGCATGGATCAGCACCTTACGAAGTGTTTGGCGAGGAGTGCAAATTAGTACTTAAAAACTTTTATGTGTTGAAGATATGTGTGTGTATGTGTGTTTGATTGCAAGGTGTGAACTTGCCAACATTATTTGAAAAACCATATCTCACTGCAATTATTTCAGCTGGTGTTATTGTTTTAAACTTATTTTTGTTCCATTAGTTTAATAAAAGTCTTGAAATTCTGTTTATGTCTTTGACCAGCATTGGAGTAGTTTTTATAATTTATAGCCATCCAATGCCAGGAAAAGCTGAGTCTATTTTTTTATAAATAAAATATTCGTTTACCATAAATCTTCTTATCACTTTTGGTTTTTAATGTCTTTTTATTCTTTTTCAAATAGTTGGTCAATAGAAAGTTTTGTAAAGTGTTGATATAATAATTTTACTACAATTCTTTTTTCTCTTTTTTTATAAGAATAATTTATTAGGAATAAACATTTACAAACTAAAACATAATTTTTGATGTTGTAATGAAAATATTTAGGTTTTGCATGGCTCTATTTTTCATGGTTTATCAGATACTATGGTATGAACATTTACCTATTTTTACCAACATGGTAATCACACATTAAATATTGATCACTTTTATCATATAAGATTGTGCATAATTTTAATTAAAATATTGTAATTAATTAAAATTATTTACATTAGAGACTGATTTTTAATCCACCTACCCCAAATAATTTTGGAATATCAGACTAATCTTTTCAATAAAATTGAAAGGATTAATTCTGACTTTAAAGGAGATTTATTATTTACAAATACTAATGAAAATACTAATGAATATTGAGATTAATTTTAAGATTCTAAAGTGATGACCAGTAGAAGATAGAGATGTTTTTCTGAGGAAGAACAATACCGTATTTATAGACTTAGTGATTAATATCTATGTGTTGCATTGATATCTTACTAATTCATGAAGTATTTATAAAATACAGGGTGACATATTAATGCTTATTAATCAGGAATCTGATATAATCTGTGGAAACAATCCTTATTTGAATAATTAATATTTAAACTGATATATGATTGATGAATAGGTTGATGAATATTTAGTGAGGAATCAGGAATAACGCTGTTCAAAGAATACCTGCTTTGATACAAGTAACATTCTTCTCATTAGAGTTGTGTCTCAATTCTTGTTTCCTTCCAAGTATCTTTTTCCTCTTTTATAGTTAACTTTTCTTTCCTCTTTAGCTAACGTAAGCATGCATGTGTGGTGTTCTCTGCCTTCAACAATTAAAACCATTCCTGAAATGATGTATTGCTAGATCAAAGGACCCATTTTTCTCTTGCTTTTGACAGCAGCAATATTCACATAATCATCTAAGTATCAACCTTTTACTTAGGCCTTCCACTCACACACAATCCTACCAACGTATTTTAATCCCCAGTGTAGTGCGTGGCTCTAATAATACGTTCATATTTTATCTGTTTATTTTACTTAAAAGAAAGTTTCATGAGAATAGGGATTTTGGCTCTCCCTGTTTCTGTCTCTTTTTAATCATATTTACTTTTTGTTCTAGATCAGTGCATATTAAATAGTATGCATTGTCTAAATGTTATATATTAGAAAAAGCAAAGGAAATACATGTGTAAAAATTACTAACCTGAAGAAGCATAGTTTCCTGAAAAGGCAGAAAAGGGTTATCTTTTGATATATACGGACAACTTATTTTTGATAGAGGAAACAGTGACACAATGTGTACTAATATTGGGAGGATTGAGAGTTTTATTGTGGGAGGTTGCTATCTTCCATTTTCTCACAGTTTATAAGAGGTAAAGACATTTGCTGGAGGTGGTGTGTAATTCAGATATCACATGGCACAATACTGAACAATGATAGAAAACTAATGCATTATCAGACAGAAAAATTCCTACATTAATAATTCACCAGTCGTTTGACCTCAAGGAATATGTCTCCTATTGATCCACTCTAAAAAGCCACTATCATTCTTTTCTTCAGTAATATTTTCCCCAACATGATGTTTTTACAGTGTCTCCACTTCATTACACTTAAGATTTTTTCCTGCAGCTATCCCCATGTTTTATAGGTAATATTCAAATTTTAAAAAATAAATAAATATCAAAACAATTATTGCTTATATTAGTTGAAGAAATGGCAGATGTGTAATATGATCCATGTATTCCTTCAATAACAATTTGAAAATTTTAAAAATTATATATAAAATGGGATTCAAACAACTGTATATTCAGTCTGGTATAATATTATAAAGTCAAATTACAAGAGATTAGATTAAAGGGAAATACACTACCAGGATAAGAATAAAACATGTAGTAATGGTATATTTGAAAAAAAGAAATCAAAGCAATATGTAAACTCACTCACTAATAAGAATTCTCAACAAGCATTTAAGACACTAAAGAATGCTAATACTTCTCATATTTCAAATTTGAGCCATATTCATGCAAGGAGAAATTAAAATCAAATGCTGAAATTGCAAGTCCTAAAAATCAACGTCAGATAATTGAGGTTCTATTGATTCAAGAAGTCTCTTCAGTTTAAAATTGGAGATACTGCTGAAACATCACTAGGTTCAGTAATAACACAGAGTTGGGGAAAACATGCTGCACAGAATGGCTATGCTATTAAATTCAGCAACGGTTTACCAAGAGGTTGTAAAATGCAGGATATTATTATATAAATACCTAGTTATAAAACTTCTGTTTTTAGCAAAATTCTAGATGAAATTCAAACAGAGAGGCAAGTCCTGTAACAGTGGCTAACGACCAGATGACATATTGTCTATGCAAACCCTTAATTTACAGTGGTAGCAGATTGGTTGGGGAGACACAAGGACTAGCTATCCAGATCCCCCTTCAAGGAAGAACTCTGCCCTAGCTTCTGGAGTAGTGTGGTCAGAAGGCAGCCTGCCATCCTCAGATCCTTCAGGGTCTGTCTCAGCTTCAGAATGCTATCTTACTCAAGGTCACACCCTTCCCTGGGCATCCCATAACCAATGACAAATAAAGGCCTACATATTTCAGAGACATGGAGAACATTATAACAGGAATATGCACATTCCAGAGTTCCCACCGAAATTGGTGGAGGCTTTGTCAGACTATTGGAGTTCATCTTTTTTCTCTGCTTAATGCTGTTTCTTCTGTCACTTAATGTGTGTTAATCCCTAATACATATTCTGCCCCTCCAATTCACTCTCAGCCTCTGCCTTCAGGGAACCTAACAGGCAACAATTGGTGATTTCTGTATGTGATTGGCAGATTTTCAAACAGGCCTGGCATGTGGCCACCTCAGGAACTTTGCACATGCTCTAAGTGAGACCTTCTTGTTTGCTCTGTCTAAATGACAATGTTCTCCAGACCTGTCTTCCTGTTTGTTTTTTTTTTTCGTTTTTTTTTAGTACTTATTTCCATTTCATCTACTATATTTTAATAACTTGTAGATAATCTCTTTTCCTCAGTAGAATAGTAGCTTTATGAAAACATGAATTTCTGTTTATTTTGTGAACTGATCTATTCTTAGTACCATGGATAGGGCCTACCAAATTGTGAATGCTTACTGTTTGTTGTATGAGTAAATAGCAGTCAAACCCTGAAAAGAACCCCCAAATCTATTTAATATAATCAATATAATTTAATTATAAGTGAAAATAAACAAAAACAGGAAAAATCTAAAAACCAAGCTATATTTTAGCTTACATATATAGTGTTTAATATTTAAAAACACTATTATAAAAAGATAGTTTTAAAAAATCTTATAGATTCTGGGCATACACAAGCAGGCTTTTCATATGAGTATATTGTATAATGCTGGCTCTTGGGCTGCTGGTGAACCCATCATCCAAATATAAACATGGTACTCAATAGTTTTTCAACCCTCATCCCCACTTCTGCCCTCCCTGCTTTTGGTGTCCCCAGTGTATATTATTTCTATCTTTATGTCTATGTCTATCCATTGTTTATCTCCCATTTAGAAGTGCAAACATTTGACATGAGATACTGGTTACTGTCTTCCTTGCTTTGAGAGAGACTCTTCCTTTGAACAGGAAATGTGGGGATGCCTGTTGTTTCGGTAACAACATAGTTCTATTTTAAAAGCTAGTTTATAGACAATTGTTGTTTGTTTTACTATTTCTTTGGGGTTACACAATTACTGGAAGGATTAACTTGGTTCAGTTATGATCAAGATTAGCATACAGGCATCTGTAAATAGGTTATTAAAGCTAATTTGATAATAATGAACACACCCTATAAACAAAACTACATCAGACAACATTTAAATTTCTATTGTTCTGTAGGCTTAACATATATAATAATTTGTAATATGATTTTATTATTTTTCTGATTCTTTATTTGGCAAGTGAGATTGTTTAAAATGTATCTATCATAAACTATTAAATATGAAACATTTAAATATGCATAAATCTTCTAAAGACAATTGACTTTTTTTTCTAAATATAAGGGAATCCTGACTTACCTAATAAGGAATAGAAATTCACACTCAAATGCATTGAAATACACAAATAGTCATTCTTTCCTTTGAAATATAATTTTATCCAAGAATAATTTCCATCACTTTTTCCATTGATTTAAATATGTTGTAATATTTACTTGTATATAGAGGACAACTATATAATCAGTGGCAAGAACTTAGATAAAGAACTTCCAGCATAAGTGATTCTATCTGGATTTACAGGACACAGATGCTTTGAGCAATGCTATCTTTGCACTGCAGACACTAGCTAGTTCAATCTCAGTGGCAAAGTATGTGAGAAGAAAGACTGGATAAAAAGGTAATATCCTCCCTAACTTAATCAGTCTTCCATGGTGAGCAACTAAGCTTGTAACTGCTATTCAGAAAGATGTTCATTAAGGTTTCTGACGTGTCCTTCACCTTGCAGGAGACAGCCCAGTTTATCGGATTGCTTAAATTAACAGGCAGGATGTTCTTTGCAATACCTTTTAACTGAAGCTCATTATACTTACTCTTTGCCAGCCAGAAGGGGTATTCTGACTGTGAAATATGCTTTTTATATGTGAAACACAGGGTCACTTTTATGTTTCCGTTTGTAAATGTATCTTGGACATATTATGGGATGTCTACGGAATGTGGGGGGTTAAGTTTTTAAAATGTAGCTCTGTGGTGCTAAAACCAGGGACAAGTAGAGAAGCATTTTGATATGTTTCCAAGTCTGAATGATTTAAATAAAATATCAGGAAGAACAATATCAATCAGAATTACCCTTAAATCTATAAGATAGCAGCATTTGGTATATGAAATATCATTCTTGGTGTAAATGAAAGTTATGAATGTATATTCAAATGTAGGGGTGTGTACAAAGAGAAAATAGGCTGTTAAATAAAGGATCAGCTTTCAAACTACAATAGTAGCAGCTTTTTCCCATATTACCAGAAATAAGATGTAGTACTATTATATGCTGTATCTTTTGCCCTGACAGAGCAAATTCAAGATTCTATCCTAAACTGTCCTCTGGTAACCATGATTAATAGTGTGGCATTCTTTCAGCCACCTTCCATTCATTAACTATGTATGTATATATATTTTGTACTGAGTGTGTCCATTGTCCTGGGCACTGGGCATTGTGGGGGAATAGAAAGAAGAAAGATGCACGCATTCAGTCCATAGTGAGTCTAAGAAGGTAGGTAAGAAAATTGCTCTTTTCCATTCTCTCAGAAAGGCCTTTCCTTAACTTAACTGCTTTCCTCATTGGCTTGGTCTCCATAGTGATTCATTTTGCTGTAAAAAGTAGACAATTATAGACAATTATGAAAAATATGAATACTGTGGTCTCTGAGTCTGAATTTGAATCCCATGTCTGCAAATTCATATGTGTGTGATCTTGGGCAATTGAATTGAAGTTGTCTGTTAAAAGCTCTGTCAGTATCCAACTTTAGATCAACTTTGCCTGATTCTCACCTTTCCATATTTAAAAACCTACAATATTGTTAGTTAAAACTAAAACTTTAGAAGAAAATGTGAGGAACATGTGAAACACCATGTTAAAAATATATATAAAGTAATTTTTCTGGCTGCCAGTTGCTATAGAGGCTGTAGCTCACCATGAAATGATACTTTATTCTCTCACCTGATGTAACAGCTAAAAATACAAGTATGCCTATTACTATTTACAAATAAGGAGGAATGTTTAGATACTTTAAAAGTAGTTTCTGTATAACAAAAGTGAAATTTTTTTCTTGCTCTTCTGATATCCAGAAAAAAGTTATTTACACATTATTTATTCTAAATGTATATATATGAATTCATGCTTAAAGTATGGTAAAATGTAATAATTGGACTTAAAACAGTCTATTATAATTATAAAATGCATATTTGCTAAAACATTAATTTTAGATACACGAAATGCTTTTTTTGCTGTATTTTGCTACATGAAAAAAACCTGTTGAAGAAATTACATATTTTCCTGTTCTTTTTTTTAAATTTTTTTGAGACAGAGTCAGAGTGGCACAATCTCAGCTCATTGCAACCTCCACCTTCTAGGTTCAAGCCATTCTCATACCTCACCCTCCATAGTAGCAGGGATTACTGGTGTGTGCCACCATGCCAGGCTCTTTTTTTTTTTTGTTTATTTATTTTTTTTTTTATTTTTAGTAGAGATGCGGTTTTGCCATATTGGCCAGGCTAGTCTAGAACTCCTAGCCTCAAGCGATCTGCCCCCTTGGCCTCCCAAAGTGCTGGGATTACAGGTGTGAACCACCGCACCTGGCTGCTGTTGTTCTTTAATCCATACTTTTGAAGTAGGTGGTGAGAATTATTATAATTCAATAGAGGAGAAAATGACTTGAAAAATTATCATGCTTATATTGTTCATTAGAGAAGTAATAAGTCGACCCTTAATAGAAAGTAAGAATTTTATCTGTTGAAATAAATATGATTTTTATAGTAAAGACAAGCATAAAAGCTAAAATTAAGAAATATATGTCTACTATTTATACTAAAATGTGCTTAGTTATAATTTCAAAGCAATTATGGAATTGTTTAATGAAGTATAACATAGATCACAGCCAAGTGCTATTTCTTAAATAGTTAACCTCTTGACATATCCTGCATTCTCCTTTAAAACCTTCATACTTTTTGCAAATTCTCCTTGAATAAAATTCTTCAAATGTTTTCCAAAATAGATAGTAAAAAAAAATTTTCAGTAAAATTAAACCCAAAGATGTGCCATTTTATGGATTGTTAAGGTAGTATCAAAATTATTTTAATTATGAGTGTATTTCCATTTTCTTTCTATGAAATACTCAAGTACACATCCTCAGTGTCAACTGTAGACATTTCTAACATTAAAAATATTATTTTTGATGAATTTTGATAATATATTTTTAGAAATATTTTTGATATTTTAACAGTGACTTTACAACTCTTTAAAAACAAACAAACAAACAAACACCATATGAAAGCTAATACTGATGCTAAGGGAAAACCTATACTTTTCTTCCAGAAACATCCATCTGATATTCAAGATTGTGTGCAATGTATTTTTACTATTTATATTTAATGAGTTTTGCTAGATAATTCTTGTATGTACAATGTCACATATACATTTAAGATAAGGATAAATTGATATTTAACAGACTGTCATACATATAACAGAAGCTCCATCAAGAGCGTGGTTAAAGCAACATAAATGTCAGACAATGTCTGAAATCATATTAGCAAATTTATAATAGTTTACTTAAGGTATGACATGGGAACTTACTCATAGAACTATCACAAAATAAATGATAGTTACAAATTGAAGCAAACTAAGGAGTGCAATATAAAAGCAACCTCTGTATCAAATAAAGCAGTTAATGGCATTTAGATAATGAATACAAAACAATGCTAAACATTCCTTTCAAAGCCAATCTGGAATCATGAGACTTGAAATTTTATTTGTATGATATCAGAATCAGTATAACAAACTGATTATATACTTTAAAAATAGCGAATTCACTACCATGATGCAAAAATAGTGTGTGTTGTTAGATTGACAACTAGAAGAATTTTCCAAAATATCTATCTTCTGTAGCATTACGTCATTTCTCATGGACATTCTGAATCTCTGATACACAGTGATGTGGGGGAAAGTGAAGACATATCATCAAATCAGGTAAAATGTAAGACCTAAAACAATAAAAACACTAGAAGAAAACTTAGGAAATACCATCTGGACATCAGCCTTAGCAAAGAATGTATGACTAAGTCCCCAAAAACAATTGCAACCAAAACAAAAATTGACAAGTGGAACCTAAATATACTAAAGAGCTTCTGCACAGCAAAAGAAACTACCAATAAACAGACAACCTACAGAATAGGGGAAATTATTTGCAAACTATGCATCTGACAAAGGTCTAATATCAAGAATCTAAAAGGAACTTAAATCAGCAAGCAGAAAACAAACAACTTCATTAAAAATGAGCAGAGGACCTGAACCAACACTTCTCAGAAGAAAACATTCTTATGGCCAACAAATACATGAAAAAAGCCTCATCACAGATCATCAGAGGATGGCAAATTAAAACCACAAGGAGATACCATCTCACACCAGTCAGAATGGCTAAAACTAAAAAATCAAAAACATAGCAGATGCTGGCAAGGTTGTGGAGAAAAGGGAATACTTATAACACTGCTAGTGGGAATGTAAATTAGTTCAGCCACTGTGGAAAGCAGTGTGTAGATTTCTCAAAGTAATTAAAACAGAACTACCATTCAACTTAGCATCTCACTATTGTGTGTATAACCTAAGGAAAATATATTATTCTACCAAAAAGACGTGCACTCGTATGTTCATCACAACACTGTTTCATGATAGCAAAGACGTGGAATCAACCAACATTCCCATCAGTGGTGAACTGGAAAAAGAAAATAGTGTACAAGATTCACCAAGGTTAAAATGAAGGAAAAAATGTTAAGCGCAGCTAGAAAGAAAGGTTGGGTTACCCACAAAGGGAAGCCCATCAGACTAACAGCAGATGTCTCTGCAGAAACCCTACAAGCCAGGAGAGATGGGGGCCAATATTCAAAATTCTTTAAAAAATTTTCAACCCACAATTTCATATCCAGCCAAACTAAGCTTCATAAGTGAAGGAGAAATAAAATTCTTTACAGACAAGCAAATGCTGAGGGATTCTGTTACCACCAGGCCTGCCTTACAAGAGCTCCTGAAGGAAGATCTAAATATGGAAAGGAAAAACCAGTACCAGCCACTGCAGGAAAAACACAAAATGTAAAGATCATTGACACTATGAAGAAACAGCATCAACGAATGGGCAAGATAACCAGTTAGCATCATAATGACAAGATCAAATTCACACATAACAATATTAACCTTAAATGTAAATGGACTAAATGCCCCAATTAAAAGGCACAGACTGGCAAATTGGGTAGAGTCAGGACCCATCAGTGTGCAAAGAGACCTATCTCATGTGGAAATGAGAGGTGACAATGTGCTAGCAGCCCTCGCTCACTCTCAGCACCTCCTCAGCCTCAGCGTCCATTCTGGCCACACTTGAGGAGCCCTTCAGCCAACTACTGCACTGTGGGAGACCCTCACTGGGCTGGCCAAGGCCAGAGCCTGCTCCCTCTGCTTGCGGGGAGGTGTGGAGGGAGAGGCGCAGGCAGGAACTGGGGCTGCATGCAGGGCTCGCAGGCCAGCGTGAGTTCCAGGTGGACGCAGGATCAGTGGGCCCTGCACTCGGAACAGCCAGCTGGCGCTGCCGGCCCCAGGCAGTGAGGGGCTTAGCACCCAGGCCAGCAGCTGCAGAGGGTGTGCTGGGTCCTCCAGCACTGCCGGCCCGCCCGCACCACGCTCGAATTCTCACCGGGCCTCAGCTGCCTCCCCACAGGGCAGGGCTCAAGACCTGCAGCCCACCGTGCCCGAGCTCCCCCCCACCCCCATGGGTTTCCACGTATCCCGAGCCTCCCCAATGGACGCCACCCCCTACTCCGCAGTGCCCGGTCTGATCAACTGTCCAAGGGCTGAGGAGTGCGGGCACACGGCGTGGGACTGGCGGGCAGCTCGACCCGTGGTCCTGGCGTGGAATCCACTAGGCGAAGCCAGCTGGGCTCCTGAGTCGGGTGGGGACTTGGAGAACTTTTATGTCTAGCTGGAGGATTGTATATGCACCATTCAGTGCTCTGTGTCTAGCTCAAGGTTTGTAAACACACCAATCAGCACTCTGTGTCTAGCTCAAGGTTTGTAAATGCACCAATCAGTGCTCTGTGTCTAGCTCAGGGATTGTAAATGCACCAATCAGCACTCTGTCAAAATGGACCAATCAGCTCTCTGTAAAATGCACCAATCAGCAGGATGTGCGTGGGGCCAGATAAAGAAATAAAAGCAGGCCACCCGAACCAGCAGCGGCAACCCACTCGGTTCCCCTTCCACATTGTGGAAGCTCTGTTCTTTCTTTACAATAAATCTTGCTGCTGCTCACTCTTTGGGTCCATGCTGCCTTTATGAGCTGTAACACTCACTGCGAATGTCTGCAGCTTCACTCCTGAAGCCAGCAAGACCACAGACCCACCGGGAGAACGAACAAGTCCAGATGTGTCACCTTTAAGAGCTGTAACACTCGCTGCGAAGGTCTGCAGCTTCACTCCTGAAGTCAGCAAGACCACGAACCCACCAGAAGGAATAAACTCCGGACACATCTGAACATCTGAAGGAACAAACTCCAGACACACCATCTTTAAGAATTGTAACACCCACCACAAGCATCCGCAGCTTCATTCTTGAAGTCAGCGAGACCAAGAACCCACCAATTCCATACACAGAAACTCACACATAGGCTCAAAATAAAGGGATGGAGGAAGATTTACCAAGCAAAGGGAAAGAAAAAAAAAAAAAAGCAGGGGTTGCAATCCTAGTCTCTGATAAAACAGACTTTAAACCAACAAAGATCAAAAAGACATGGAAGCTCATTACATAATGGTAAAGGGATCAATGCAACAAGAAGAGCTAAGTATCCTAAATATATATGTACACAATACAGGAGCACCCAGATTCATAAAGCAAGTTTTTAGAGACCTACAAAGAGACTCAGAGTCCCACACAATAATCACAGGAGACTTTAAAACGCCACTGTCAATAGTAGACAGATTAATGTGAGAAAATTAACAAGGATATTCAGGACTTGAACTCAGCTCTGAACCAAGTGGACCTAATAGACATCTCCAGAACTCTCCACCCCAAATAAACAGAATATACATTCTAATCAGCACCACATACCACTTATTCTAAAATCGGCCACGTAATTGGAAGTAAAACACTCCTCAGCAACTGCAAAAGAATGGAAATCATAACAGCCTCTCAGACCACAGGGCAATCAAATTAGAACTCAGGACTAAGAAACTCACGTCTGGGCGTGGTGGCTCACACCTGTAATCCCAGCACTTTGGGAGGCCAAGGCAGGCAGATCATGAGGTCAGGAGATCGAGACCATCCTGACCAACATGGTGAAACCTTGCCTCTACTAAAATACAAAAAAGTAGTTGGGTGTGGTGGTGCACACCTGTAGTCCCAGCTAGGCAGGGGAATCACTTGATCCGGGGAAGCAGAGGTTGAAGTGAGACGAGATGGTGCCACTGCACTGCAGCCTGGTGACAGAGCAAGACTCCGTCTAAAAAAAAAAAAAAAAAAAGGAACTCACTCAAAACCACACAAATACACAGAAACTGAACAAACTCCTGAACTACTACTGGGTAAATTATGAAATTAAGGCAGAAATAAATAACTTATTTGAAGCCAGTGAGAACAAAGACACAATGTACCAGAATCTCTGGGACACAGCTAAAGCAATGTTTAGAGGGAAATTTATAGCACTAAACGCCTACAGGAGAAAGTGGGAAAGAACTAAAATCGACACCCTAACATCAGAATTCAAAGAACTAGAGAAGCAAGAGCAAGCAAATTCAAAAGCTAGCAGAAGACAAGAAATAACTAATATCAGAGCAGAGCTGAAGGAGATAGAGACACGAAAAACCCTTCAAAAAATCAGTGAATCCTGGAGATGGTTTTTTGAAAAGATTAACAAAATAGATAGCCCACTAGCCAGACTAATAAAGAAGTAAAGAGAGAAGAATCAAATAGACACTTAAAAAAATTATAAAGGAGAGATCATCACTGATCTCACAGAAATACAAACTACCATCAGTGAATACTGTAAACACCACTATACAAATAAACTAGAAAATCTAGAGGAAATGGATATATTCCTGGACACATACACCCTCCCAGGACTAAATCAGGAGGAAGTCGAATCTCTGAATAGACCAATAATAAGGTCTTAAAATGAGGCAGTAATTAATAGCCTATCAACCAAAAAAAAAAAGCCCAGGACCAGACAGATTTACATTTGAATTCTACCAGAGGTACAAGGAGGAGCTGGTACCATTCCTTCTGAAACTATTCCAAACAACAGAAAAAGAGGGACTCCTCCCTAACTCATTTTATGAGTCCTGCATCATCCTGATACCAAAACCTGACAGACACAACAAAAAAAGAAAATTTCAGGCCAATATCCCTGATGAACATCGATGCAAAAATCCTCAGTAAAATACTGGCGAACAGAATCCAGCAGCATATTAAAGGGCTTATCCACCATGATCAAGTCAGCTTCCTCCCTGGGATGCAAGGCTGTTTAAACATATGCAAATCAATCAATGTAATCCATCACATAAACAGAACCAATGACAAAAACCACATGATTATCTCAATAGATGCAGAAAAGGCCTTTGATAAATTTCAACACCCCTTCATGCTAAAAACTCTCAATAAACTAGGTATGGATGGAACGTATCTCAAAATAATAAGAGCTATTTATGACAAACCCACAACCAGTATCATACTGAATGGGCAAAAGCTGGAAGCATTCCCTTTGAAAACTGGCACAAAACAAGGATGCCCTCTCTCACCACTCCCATTCAACATAGTATTGGAAGTTCTAGCCAGGGCAATCAGGCAAGAGAAAGAAATAAAAATTATTCAACTAGAAAAAGAGGAAGTCAAATAATCTCTGTTTGCAGATGACATGATTGTATATTTAGAAAACCCCAGCATCTCAGCCCAAAATCTCGTTAAGCTGTTAAGCAACTTCAGCAAAGTCTCAGGATACAAAATCAATGTGCAAAAATCACAAGCATTCCTATACACCAATAACAGATAAACAGAGAGCCAAATCATGAATGAACTCCCATTCACAATACTACAAAGAGAATAAAATACCTAGCAATACAACTTACAAGGCATGTGAAGGACCTCTTCAAGGAGAACTACAAACCATTGCTCAAGGAAACAAGAGAGGACACAAAAAAATGGAAGAACATTCCATGCTCATGGATAGGAAGAATCAATATCGTGAAAATGGTCATACTGCCCAAAGTAACTTATAGATTCAATGCTGTTCCCATCAAGCTACCATTGAGTTTCTTCACAGAATTAGAAAAAACTACTTTAAATTTCATATGGAACCAAAAAAGAGCCTGTACAGGCAAGACAATCCTAAGCAAAAAGAACCCAGCTGGAGGAATCATGCTACCTAACTTCAAACTATACTACAAGGCTACAGTAACTAAAACAGCATGGTACTGGTACCAAAACAAATATATTGACTAATGGAATGGAACAGAGGCCTCAGAAATAACACCATCATCTACAACTATCTGCTCTTTGACAAACCTGACGAAAACAAGCAATGAGGAAAGGATTCCCTATTTAATAAATGGTGTTGGGAAAACTGGCTAGCCATATGCAGAAAACTGGAACTGGACCCCTTCCTTACACCTTATACAAAAATTAAATCAAGATGGATTAAAGATTTAAACATAAGACCTAAAAACATTAAAACCTTAGAAGATAACCTAGACAATACCATTCAGGATATAGGCATGGGCAAACACTTCATGACTGAAATACCAAAAGCAATTGCAACAAAGCCAAAATTGACGAATGGGATCTAATTAAATTAGAGAGCTTCTGCACAGCAAAAGAAACTATCATCAGAGTGAACAGGCAGCCTACAGAATGGGAGAAAATTTTTGCCATCTATCCATCTGACAAAGGGCTAATATCCAGAATCTACAAGGAACTAAAACAAATTTACAAGAAAAAACAACCCCATCAAAAAGTGGGCGAAGGATATAAACAGATATTTCACAAAAGAAGACATTTATGTGGCCAAAAAATGTATGAAAACAAGCTCATCATCACTGGTCATTAGAGACATGCAAATCAAGCCCACAGTGAGATAATGTCTCACGCCAGTTAGAATGGCAATCAGTAAAAAGTCAGGAAACAACAGATGCTGGAGAGGATGTGGAGAAATAGGAACGCTTTTACACTGTTATGGGAGTGTAACTTAGTTCAACCATTGTGGAAGACAGTGTGGCAACTCCTCAAGGATCTAGAACTAGACATACCATTTGACCCAGCAATCCTATTACTGGGTATATACCCAAAGGATCATACATCATTCTATTATAAAGACACATGCACACGTAGGTTTATTGTGGCACTATTCACAAGAGCAAAGACTTGGAACCAACCTAAATGCCCCTCATTGTTAGACTGGATAAAGAAAATGTGGCACATATACAGCATGGAATACTATGCAGCCATAAAAAAGAATGAGTTCATGTCCCTTGCAGGGACATGGATGAAGCTAGAAACCATCATTCTCAGCAAACCAACACAGGAACAGAAAATCAAACACCATATGTTCTCACTCATAAATGGGAGTTGAACAATGAGAACATAGGGGCACAGGGAAGGGAACATCACACACCGGGGCCTGTTGGGGAGTGGAGGTAAAGGGGAGGGATAGCATTAGGAGAAATACCTAATGTAGATGACGGGTTGATGGGTGTAACAAACCACCATGGCACACGTATGACTATATAACAAACCTGCATGGTCTGCACATGTATTCCAGAACTTAAAGTATAATAATAAAAAAGAAAATAGGGTACAAATACATCACGGAATACTAAGCCACCATAAAGCAGATAAAATCAGGTCCTTTGCAGCAACATGGATGCAGCTGGAGGCCATTATCCTAAGTGAACTAACACAGGAACAGAAAACCAAATACCACATGTTCTTACTTATAGGTGGGTGCTAGACATTGAATAGACGTAGACATGAAAAGGTAACAATAGACACTGGGGACTGCTTGAAGGGGGAGGGTGGGGAAGCCTCTGTGGGTTAGAAGGCTATCTATTCAACACTATGCTCACTACCTTGGTTACAGGATCATTCACATATCAAGCCTCAGAAACACACAATTCACCCGTGCAACAAACCTGCACATGTATTCCCTGAACCTAACAGGAAAAAATCAAATATGAAAATTAGATATTCCAAAATGCTTCTGTCTGAGTAATCAAAATATACTGTTATAATACATTTTGTGTTTTGAGTTAAAATGCAAATGAAAATATTTCTGTTGCAATCATATTCTCGACATTTTAGCATTTTGTTGTTTGATTTCTGTTTCAATCTCCAAATAATATTTTGGGGATTGAAGTGCAACTTTTTGATATTTCACAATCTGAAGCAAATACATATAATAGATACTAAAATTGATATTATGATATTTAGTGATTGTTATTTAGTTTCCCAAGTCCAGAAGATAGTAAAACGATGAGAAAATAAGAATGTGTTAGTATAATGTGTACTCCAGTATGCCCCTGCCTGAAAGGGTTGATATCATATATATGTTTATCAATTCAAATGTAATCACATGCTTATATATATGAACATATGTTCTGTTTTTGTTTCAAAAATTAGTCAAAAAAGAAACAATTTTAAGCTATCTGCAAGAGATGTGCAAAAGTAAAAATGCAAATAATATTTTTATTAATTTTTAAATCAGTATTTTTGTAGATGTGCATTGAATCAGATTGAATATGCATCTCATGAAGATTTTCCTGAAACTTATTTCTGTTCACTAAGTAAAACCCCTGTGTTTCCTCTTTATGACCAACCATAATTATATTATAAATCTTATAATTCTTTATGTACATGACTTGTTAGGGTCATGGGCTATGTTTCTTCTATTTCTGTGTCCAGTGAATGACATTGAAATAATCTCAATTGTTAACTTCATGAATGATAAATAAAAAAGGTTGTTTTCATGTAACTTTTGGAGAATTAAGGAGAACTGTATAATAATACCAGAGAAAGGAAAACAGTTGAAAATCAAATGTTATAGGTGGGCAACTTTTATCTCAAATCCAATTTAATAAGTTCAAGTTTCCAGAAAAATGAAGAACAGCGTTTGAAAGATATGAAAGTAAAAACATACCCGTGTCAGTTTGACTCCTCATTAATCTGAGAATATAAAAGATTTTACAAGATCAAAGAATATTCTTTCCTTTTTAAATCAATATGCTTTTATTTTAAACTTTTTCTTAAGTAATTTTACAATTGCTGAAAAGTAAAAGAGCCTCAATGAATTCCTGAATACCCTTTACCTGTTTTCCTGAATGTTCCTAAAAATACCTAGCAATGATATTACCAAAGTGATAAAGTATTGCTGTTAATATACCATTAATTAAACTATAGACTTTATTTGGATTTCGCCAGATTCCCCACTACAGTTTTTTTTTTTTTTTTTCTAATCCAGTATCCAACTCAGGATATTATATTGTGCTTAGTTGCTTGAATACACCGAAAAGGTGGTGGACTCTAGTCTTCACCAGTCTGTGACAGTTTCTTAGTCTTTCACTGGTTTTTATTACCTTGACACTTTTGAATAGCATTGGTTATTTTGTATAACTCTCTTTATTTAGATTTGTGCTATATTTTTCTCATTAGACTGGAGTTTTTGATTTTGTTTTTTTGAAATTCACACAGAAGAAATATCTTTCTCATTAAATGATATAAGAAGGAGCATGATGTCATTAATTTTAATAGTGGTGCTAACTTGATCACATAGCTAAGAGGATGTTATGGTTTGAATGTATGTGTCCCTCCAAATTTTGTATGTCGGAACTTAATCCCCGAGGTAATGGCAGTAAGACATAAGGCCCATGGGAAGTGATTAGTTCATAAGGGCTCTGCCATCACGAATGGGTTAAAAGGGCTTGAGCAAGTGAATTTAGTCCTTGTGTCCTTCTATGCATTTCACCTATGGGGACACTGTATTTGTCCGCTCCCCAGAGTAGAGCAACAAGGTGTCATTTTGGAAGCAGAGACAGTACCCTCACCAGACAACGAACCTCCCGGTGCCTTGGACTTCCAACCTCCAGACTGAAAAATGAATTTCTTTTTTTTTAATAGATTATCCACTCAGTTATTTTGTTATAGCAACACAAATGGACTAATAAAATGTCTGTTAGATTACTTGTTTTTGCATTCCATGTATACATATTTGTACTTCTACATTCATTGGAAATGTGTCGCTAAGTCCAGCTCACTCTTTAGGGGGTGGGGAGGGGGTGTAAATTAAGCTCCAACTCCCAGAGAGAGAACATCAAATTACATAGGTATAAAAAAATGCTAAAATATGTGTTGAAAACATACCTGAATATATGTTAAATACAGCAGATAAGAAATAGTCTATGGGAGATACTATGGAGAGTATGCAAATATCTTGTTTCTCCTTTAAGTTCCACCCATCAGTAGTAGTAGTAGTAGTAGTGGTATTTTAGCCTGATTACAGTATACTTTATTGATAATACATGACAAAGTAGGGCTTTTTAATCCTCTCAACCTCTTGGGGGTTCTGGGATGGAAACTGTGTTGAGGATGGGAGATTCTCAGAGTGTTGGAGGATCCAGTTGGGACAAAGACTTCCCGGCAGTAGGTCTCTCTCCTTCTCTCCTGCTTTTGATGGGGCAGGTAATTTAGGAAGCTCTTATCCTTGGAGAATGTTTAGCTATTAGTTCCACTACTCTGTTGCTGTATCCAAGCATCCACTAATTTTAATATGCAGCAATTATTGTTGACATGTTCTAATGGCGACTTTGTGTTTATTTGAGTTATCCTCTAATCCTGTTGTTTTTTATTTCTTTGGTTTTGGGGTTTGTTTTTTGTTGCTGTTGTTGTTGTTGTTGTTGTTGTTTTGGACCGTGGGTATACATGAAGAACTCTTTCTGGTTGATTCATGTTCCCTTTTAACATTGAAGACAGCAGCTCCTGGTTAAAAAGCTGAGTGTGATTTTTCAGGCCTGATCATTTGCACTTGCAAAGGCTTTATCAGGCAGGCCTCACTGGGGAAAGCTATCCTCACCACACAGATCTGGGACACAGCCAGTGCATTGTAGTCTCTGAAGGGAGTTTCATTCAAGAACTGTCCCTTCTGTATGGTCAAATGCTTAGCACATTTTCATTCCTAGCCCCAGCACCTTCATCTCTACATCTCTATATCTAAGACTATCTCTACATCTCTCTATCTGAGACCATCGACAGAAGTCTTATTTAGGTGTCTCTGCCAAGACCTTGTTACCAGTACAGTGGGGAAATGTTCAAAACGCTTCTGCCCACTCTGACTGAATACCCAGTACTTTCCACTTCTAACCCTTTCCTCCTTCCCCTCCCTCAGACTCCAATGTCTATAAAACTGTTTATAGACATTGTCTGGGGATCCTTCATAGCCTATACACTATGGGGATAAAACTTGTTTGGGGATCCTTCATAGTCTATAAAACTGTCAGAGCCTTTTGTTTGACAACCTCTGCTTCTGTGATGATCCAACTGGTCCTTGACCAGTCATTGCACCTTTCAATTGGGGGAAAATGGAAGAAATACGGTATAAAAGATTAAAAATGGTACACTTCTACAGGGCACTTACTGTGAATGGAGCTTGACAGACTGGACGTTGCACTGGGTCAGTGAGTGAGTTGTGAGTGAATGTGAAGGTGTAGGACATTACCGTACACTACTGTAGACTTTACAAACACTGAACATTTAGGATACATTTATAAAAACTTTTTAAAAAATAAATTAACTTTATGGTAACTTTTTTACTTTATAAACTTTTTCTGAACTTTTTCAAGCTTTTATTTAAAACATGAACTCATTGTACAGCTGAACAAAATGTTTTCAAGATTTTTTATATTTATAAAATTTTAATTTTTAATTTTTTTTACTTTTGAAAATTTTTGTTAAGAACTAAGACTCAAACACACACATTAGCCTTGGCCTACCCAGGGTCAGGATCATCAATATCACTGCCTACCACCTGCACATCTTGTCCACTGGAAGGTCTTCATGGGCAATAACAGGCACAGACAGAGCTGTCATCTCCAATGATAACAATGCCTTCTTCTAGACTACCTCTTACAAGACCTCCCTGAGGCTGTTTCATAGTTACTTTTTCCAGTAAGTACAAGGAGTACATTCTAAAATACTGATACAACATATAGTACCAGAATACAGAATACAGAATACAGAATACCAGAATACAGAAACCAGTAACAGTCATTTATTATCAATCAAGTACAAAATTGTATGTGCTATACTTTTATATGACTTTCAGCACAATAGGCTTCTTTATATCAGCATCACCATAAACATGTCAGTAACATGTTGCTGTGTTGCTATGACATGACAACTATAACATCGTTGGGTCATAGGAATTTTCAGCTTTATTTTAATCTTATTGAATCACCTTTATATATACAGTCCATTGCTGAGTTGACTAAAACGTCATTATGTTTGTTAAAACTGTATTTTATATGATTCAACCTTACAATCAATCATTTCATTATTGACTTTTTTCTTGTTTTGGAACTTTCTACTTAGAAACCAAGATCTAGGCACTATTTATGTTTCTTGCTATTTGAGTATTACTGCTTCTAGACCCTTGCAGCAAATAAAGGAAGAGGTTATATGTATGCATTCTAGCCCTTGCGTAAAGACATATCCTTATATCCTTACACAGTTATATATCTATGTAACCACATATACTTGTTCATATTCATATAGGCTTCTAACTCAGTGCCAGCGGGTTCGTTCTATTGTTCCTTCCTTGCTATTTGCAGCTCCTTGTTTTCTGACAATAATAAACCTCACAAATCAGCATGCTTTTAAAAAGCTTTACTAAATTTATAAATAATTTCTCCTAACAGTACAGTCTTTGAAACATTCTTATATAAAATTGAGGAAAGCACTTTGAGAATGGTATGGCAGATATATCACATATTAGTCGTTTGTCACTCAAAATAGTATAAATAATTTCTATTATAATCATGTACTCCCCAGTGAATACTAAGCTTTTTAAGAGATTAGCTTGAAGAATGTATGGACTTCAAACTAAAACTTGAAAGTCAGAATAAAGTCAAGGTTAATTTTTTTAAGAAGGCAACATGTATATTTAATTAATAAAAAATATTGGATCATTGGTGTTACACTTTGTAGCCATAATGGAATGACTGGTATAAGACACAGTCTCCTGGTGTAACGAACTTTAAAACTTCATAGGCCGGGCATGGTGGCTCACTCCTGTAATCCCAGCTTTGGGAGGCCAAGGTGGGCGGATCACAAGGTCAGGAGATCGAGACCATCCTGGCTAACATGGTGAAACCCTGTCTTTACTAAAAATACAAAAAATTAGCCAGGTGTGGTGGCGGGCGCCTGTAATCCCAGCTAATCAGGAGGCTGAGGCAGGAGAATAGCTTGAACTGGGGAGGCAGAGGTTACAGTGAGCCAAGATGGCACCACTGCACTCCAGCCTGGGGGACAGAGCGAGACTCCTCATCTCAAAACAAAACGAAACAAAGCAAAACAAAAACAACGAAAAAAAACAACAACTTCATGAAATATATGAGACGATTGTTTAAAAAGATTGACAGTAGCCAATACAAAATATGATGTTTGATAGCGGAGAGACACACAAGGTCAATGCGTGTTTGCCCAGGCTTTCTGCCCATCAGGCTGGGTAGGTAGGTTGAGTCCAAGTAGACCTGAACTTAACTGAACAGGCAGAGACTGGAGTTCAGGATCACTGAAGTTCCTGGAACTTGGGGACAGACAACTAGAGGGGTGAATTCTCCAAGAGGAATGGTAGAAGCCTGTGACAAAGCTTCCTGTGGTTTTGGGATTAAGAGGCAGGTTTTGTATGTACCAGGAAAGATTCAGATTAGCAGAAAGAAGATACTGTGCAGCTGACAGATAACAGAAATACCAGGATTCATGCAGTGATGAGGACATTGGAGTTCCATGCTAGTCAAAGTGAAAGTGAAGGCCATAATCTAAGTTATATGTCACAACCTATTTATAAGACAAAACTGAAAGTGATCAATCTTAACAAAAATAAAAATTTACCTAAATAGATGAAGCAGATTCATCAGTAATATGACCACCTGTCATAACAATACTATAACATAACAATACACAATACCTAAAAAAAAATAATAATTCAGGCGCTTTAGATGATAGCATCCACAATGTCAAATATTAACTTAACAAAATAAAAAGTGTAAAGTAGGAAAATGTAACTACTATTGCCATTACTACTAACAATAAAATATTAAAAATAAAGCACCATCAAAATAGACTCTAGGATGACCCAGATATTGGAATCATTAGAAAAGAACTTAAAATCAGGTATTAGGTAGATTGTGATAAGTTAATGATACATATTAAAATGAATAGTGCAAACAATACAATTAGTAAAATAGAAAAAATGAAAATAGAATGTAAAAAATATTAAAAATAATTGATTAAACAAAAACAATGCATAACAGAAAGAAAAAAATTGAAGTAAACTACACTAATATAAATGACTGAAAGTGTCATCCATGTCATATATACTGAAAAATTTAAAAATATAATAGCCAAGATATTTTATAGTTATAAGTAATTTGTATTAGATATTTCAAATATTTAAAGTTATATAATTTTTTCATATAACTCTTCATATTCAGGGAGAATTTTAATGTTTTTGTCTATTTTTAATATACCAACTGCCCACATCATTCAAAAAATATATTTTGAGAACTATTTTGAGAATTATATTTGAGAATTATTTTCAAAAAGTATATTTTGAGAATTATTTTGTTTTAATCAGGAACATTTCCAAGTATGTCTATAGAAGTCAAACTTTAAAGTTTTTAATGATAGAAGTAATACGTTTTCAGTATTTAGTTTTGTGTTTTTTACTTTTACAACTCACAAATAGAGAAGAATTTTTAAAAGTACTGCAGGATTTGTTTATTTAAACTTTAGTAGATTAATTGCAAGTTTTAGTTATATTGTGAAAATCTCTCCACTAAATTTATACTATTACTACTAAAATGTTAGTCATAGTACAGGGGAGGATATATATTCCTAATAGAAAATTATTGTCATCATTTAGGATAAATATTTTAAACTTCTCTCCTATCCTAAATATTAGATTACAGAACTATTTCTCTGCCTATTCACTAAAAGCATACTAGATTTTTCATCATTTGAAACACGTGTGATTTATTTTCCAAGTTAAAAAGACATACATTTCATAAATACAAATGACATACATTTAATAAAATACTAATTTAAAAAAAGATTAAAAATAAACAATTATCTAATTCCTATTGCTAAAGTGATATACATTAAACTCAATTACAGCTAGTAGGCACAACTTGTAAGAAATTGCACAAACATGGCCCTAGAGAAGGTCAGGCCAAGAAAACCAAGGAGATAACAAAATAAATACATTTAGTTTGGTATATTGTCTTTTTCCAATAGGGAATTGCCTCCACTTACATTTGTTCATTCCTTAAGCCCCTACTAACCCTCAGACATTTTTGGAAAGAGTTGATGATCAGCATATCTTTGCCATATTTGACCTTGGTCAACCTTCATTTTAGTTCTGTAAACTCTATCTCTTGCTGGCCAAATCCATGTTCTGTTACAACATCTGTCTTTGGCATGTGATAAAATATAGGTCTTCCTGACTTATTTTCCTCATCAAAATGTATCTTCTTTTTGAGGTTTTATTTCTTGTGTATTTGTGTGTGTGTGTGTGCATGTGTGTATGTTTGTGATGTGCTTGTGCTGCCTAGCTTGCCAAGAGAGAAATCATTCAACATAAATCATTAACTGGAAATATTTTTAATATTATGTAGAAGACATTAACATAAAATGTTTTTGAGGAATAATTGGACTAAGAATATCTTCTCTGAAATAGATCTAAATATGAGTTTGTTATACTGATTCTCACAAAAATGAAGTAAAAGAAAAAAAACAAAATAAGAGGTAATATTAAATAACTCTTCTGTGTAAAGGGAAGGAGTCCCTGCTCTATGACATTATTTCCTTAACCCAAAGACAGGAAGAAATTTTGAGTCTCCATCCCACAATATGTGGATGCCATCCCACAGACTACCACTTTCACTGGCATAAAGGATTGTAATTGTGTCTGACAGCAGAGTTAGGGTACTGCTCTACTCATTCACTCAGATAAAATCACTAGTGCATGGCTCTCCAGCTCCTTTAACATTTTAATTCCTTCCATGCAAGATACATGATCAATGCCAGGAGAAAGATAAGCAAATATTAAAAACCTAAATGTACATTTATCAGCCAATACTTTGAAAGAAGATCATTTTCGACCATTGTTAAAACACTAGACCCTATCCTCTGATTGATATTTTAAAACATATTGAAATCAATCACCATCAGAAATTTCAGCTTTTCAAATTGGTTCTATTTTTTGGCCTAATTAAAGGATGAGAGGCTACTAACTCCATTTTTAATAGGGTCAGATTAATTGGCAAATACTGTATTTACAGGTTTGGGCTATATTTAGCCTTATAAAATATAAAGCAAATAATTCTAATGTGTAATTTCAGCAGAATAATTTATTTTTGTAATTTCTTTTATAGAAAAATAAATTTTATAAATTATATTTCAAAATATTGTAAAATATTTTCCCCATATATTCCACTGATTTATTCTTGTACCCCAACTTTTTTGTTGAGGCATTAGGAAGTGTGAATACTATAATCTAATGTAGCTTGCAGACTAATAGGATAACTTTAAATTATTAAACTAGATACAATAAGTTAATATGGAGGTGTGTATATGTTAACATATGTAATACGTAATAGACTAAATTGGTGTTCAGGTGAATAAATTGAGAACAAATCTTGGAATCATGGAGAATGGATAGTTCAGAAAGAAAGATCACACGTTTTCTGCAAGTAGAAACAGTATACTCATTCCTTCATGGGATATTTCTTAGTTTATGTCTTAATTTTCTACAGCAGTTAAAACAAAAATATCTAAGTTTAAACATTGTCCCCATTAAATGTTTAGTTTGTCTAGCTCTGCTTTATCTTAATCATAATGCCTTACCTTCATATGCTGAAATGACATACTACTAGTGACAGAGAATTTTAATATAGTATAGAAAGATTAATATTGCATTTCATCTGACACTTTTTATTGCAGTTGAAATAGTTGGATATTTTTAAAGTTATTTATTTTATGATACAGAATGTTTGGAGAAAAAGTTTTCAGGAAAATCAATCATAAATATTCAGACATTTGGCTTATTATTTTTCTGAGTAAAAACTACAGTTAATCTTTCCCTCTTTTGGCCTCACCTGATCCTATTTTTACAGTCATTTCAGCAGGGTTTATGTAAGCTCCAAAGATTATAGCCGTTGTTTAGTGACTGTTATTGATAGTTTGGGGTATGTCATTTGCACCTGCACTTTATGTGTTTAATATTGCTGAAATCAAAACTACATAAACATGAGTTATCTTTTTAAAGTGTTCTGTGTGCTCGATTCCTTATGGCAACTTAATACAGTGATGCTATATGGCACATCAAGCTGCAAATGTTTGTTAACTCTCAATTATTTTATTGAAGTAAGCAGATTTCTGACAACCATCTGTTAAAGAGTATACTTATTTCTGTTAATAAATCCATTTGAAAGAGAAATAGTCATTAAAGCAAGGAAGTAAGCACAGCCTCTCTGAGAAGTTGGAGCTATATATATGTGACAAATCCTGTGAAATGTTAGTAATAAGGGCATAAAATGAGTGTAAAATTTCTGCTAAAACAAAAATAGTTGTATTTGTATTTTGCTTATGCAAATGTCATCTTTAAACAAACCAATTATGGATATATCTTTAGAATTGAAAATTTACCTAACTTGCATTAATATCAGGAAAGTATAATGAAGCATTAACAACATTTTGGCACTTCATTACACAGGATATTTATCATTTGCACTCCTTATTTTAGCACTGCATTTTCTTTCTCTAATATCCTCAAACAATAAGAAAATATGATATATTGTACTTCTACATATAATATGGTTATACAATATACATTATAGATATACAATATACATTAAATATTGTAATATATATTACATATAGATATACAATATACATTAATGCTCGAGTATACTCACTCTAAAACATGTGGCATAGAGTTGCTTGTTGAGAATGAACTTGTTCACAAGTTAATATCTACTATTCTAAGTGTGAGCATGTTCAATGTTTTGATATTTAAAATTATTATTTATTTTGTTTTAATGAATTCTTTTATGTAAGTCTTGGCTTTCCTACTTTGCATTCAAATTAATCTCTTATTGCACCTGGATTTCATTTATTTTGTTGGTGACTGCCTATCTCCAAAGTGACTCCCTTCTGAGCATGTCAAAGTACATTTTGTATAATGTCTATATTCTGTGTTTAAAGTTAGATCATCTCAATCATACCTTCCAGATTTGATGAAAAATCTATCTAGGCATTTTCTTCTCATACATTAACAAATAGAAACAATTAGTTGCAGGTTTCTTTTCATAAACAGTTTAGGACATCTAGAATATGATACATTTCTGTTCAGGGAAACATATAGACGATGAAATAAAAATGGCTTTTTTATGGTTAAGAAGAATTTAACAGGATGGCCACACATCCTAATTAAAACATGTGCCTAATTCCCCTGACATAGATGTTTCCTTAATTTAATCAAATTTCTACTAGGACCATATCAGAAGGATGGGAGAAGCACCCCTTGATTATTTGAATAAGATAAGGCTGCCCATAAACCACCATGAACTAATAATATACCTTTCATTAAAAGACAAGTACTTGTGCTGAGAAGGGTCAAAAGGAGTATCAGCAAAAATAAGTTGATTGTTCTATAATAGCATCTTCAAGAAACACAAGAGTTCACACAATAATCCAGGAGTCTCACTACTGGGAATACATCCAAAGAAAATAAAATCAGTATGTCAAAGAAATATCTACACTCGCCTTTTCACTGAAGCATTATTCTACAGTCTGCCGTTCACTGCAGCATTATTCACAACAGCCATGATAGGGAAACAAAGTGCCCAAGAAAAGAACAATGAATGAATAAAATGTAGTTTATATATACAATGGAATACTGTTGACCCTTACAAAGAAGAAAATTCTGTCTTCTTTGCAACAACAGGGATGAACCTAGAAAATATTTATGTTAAATGAAATAAGCCAGGCATAGAAAGAAAAATCCTGTATGATCTCACCTATATGTGAAATGTAAAAAAGTTGAATATCAAAGAAACAGAGAGTAATATGGTGGTTAACCTAATGCTGGGGGTAGAGGGACTGGGTAGACATTTGTCAAATGACACAAAATATCAGTTAGTCAAGAAAGGTTCAAGATATCGATTACATATCTTGGTGACTACAGTTAATAACAATATATTATATATTTGAAAATTGCTAAGAGAGTAGATTTTAAGTACTTTTACTGTATAAAATAACTATGTGAGATAATAAATATGTTAAGGAGTTTGATTCAGCCATTACACAATGTATACATATATCAAAATATCATATTATCTACACCATAAATATACACAATGTTTATTTTCATTTTTCAATCTAAAAAAAAAAGACACTAGGGGTCAGGGTACCAATCAAGAAAGAAGATTATAGCAGAGCTTAATCTCTGCTTTCATTTGGGTTATGCAGCTCTGCAGTGTAAGAGCCAGTCACAGTGGGACAGTTGGATGATAATACAAGGATATATCACATTAAAATTTCTCTCAAAGTAGATAAGAGCTGTTTTGGAAAGGTTTTAATAGAAAACCATCAAAAATATAAATAGACTTTTTTAATGTAAATGCCTTAATCTTTCACCACATGGTGAGAGAAAAGAGGTTTCAGAATTTTCCTTTCTGCAAGTATTAGCTCCTTTGATACTCCAGTGGAAAGGGATAAGTTTATTTAGTGTCCCCAGATATATTAGAATATCTATGTTACCCAAGTTGTATATATCAAGTGGCAAAGTGTGTCTGTATCACTTTTGGCCACCTACACTCTGGTTTTTAAGGGACTATAATTAACTTTATGTTCCAGAGTATTCGTGAATAATCAAAATATTTTAATATTATATCACAGTAAATGGACAAAATATAGGTGATACAGAGATATTACACTTTAGGGAATCTGCACTTCAGGAAGTGTAGCCATAGAAAGAATATCAGGTGTAGCTCTTAGACACAGCAATTATTCAATCTGAAAGCAAAGAATATTTATGATACATTGAGTAGTATCAGTTGGGGCATAGATATTATTATTCTTTATAGTCTTAGTTTTTATAGGAAAAAATTAAAAACCACCAACAAAACCAGAAAAGTCATGAGAAATCTTTAAACATTCCTTCAGCACAAAGTAGCAGATTAAATAGAGAAATATTGAGTAGTAAATGTTTTATATGCCTATAAATCCTTCCTTTGGTAAGAGGGATTATTCCTCAATGCATTTGTTATTAGTGAGGCTTGTTCATCACAGAACCCACCACCACTGGCCACTATAATAAATGATATAAGTAAAAAAAATCCTCCCTATTACTTAAATTGATAGTTGAAAGTTGATTTGTTCAAGTCATGTATCTAATGATTGAGGTATTGGTTGATTATAAGTTTGTTTGGTGGTAATATTGATCCTGTAATACCTAGCTAAATATAGCAAATTCTTTTTGACCCACTATTAAAAAGCTGTACTTTCACCTGTGGTATGTTGGGCCTCAGACTATTTTTGGCTGATGCTAAAATTTAAATGAATTAATAGAAATATCATCAGAATGTCAGAATAAGTTAGATACTTTTTGTCGTTGTTCGTGATAGAATGTTTAAAAGCCAGAAATGATGAACACAGAATGTATTGCCCTAAGTCAAGGGTAATTCAAGATGGACAACTGTTAGTTAATCGTATGTCTTGCTGACTTACAAAATCTATTTTTTATCATAAAGTTACCTTGACTGATGACTATGGATAAAACTATGGAAGATACTACTGTGATATGAGAAAACCCAGAAACTTGTGGAGATTTGGATCTTTTAAGCCCTTCAAAAGGACATGCTGATGTTCATTTTCCACATGATAGACTTAATTATTTACATTGAATATCTCAGTTAGCTGTGAATATGGGGTTTGAGGTAGGGTATGGCAACTCCAGCTATTTCTATTATATTGGTTCAGGACAAACTCTAAAACGAGAGCTAAGATATATGGCTTTTGAAAAAAAAAAAACAACACTAAAGCCTTGTTCTAAATACAATGTAAATTTGAAAAGCAGAGATTAGTTTCCTGCACCACAATTTGAAAAGTGTTTATAGTGATCCAAAACGATCCTAGGATCCAAAAGGATTGATAGCTTTCGAGGTTTTAAGTGAGTATATTACAAATGATATTCCAGCCTGATAAACAGTAACCTGGAATTCTGTTTGGGGGAAATATGGATTTTGTATATGTCAACTGACTCTCCCACTGAATACAACTATAGAACCTGGACAGAATATATGCAGCAACAATATAAGGACTAAGAAAAGTAAACAGCAGTAGGTGGTTCAGCAATTAACATGAAAATCCAATGTACTACCACACTGGCAGTGAGTTTACCATGTTTTCCCTCCAGTATCTCTCACCCTGACGGTAACACAGTCAGCAACCTAGAAATGTGCACAATGACACAGTTATTTTCCTCTAATTCTGATTTAAGCAGACAAAAAAGTAAATCTTAATATTTGGTTTGCAGAAATTCATTTATTTTTCTTTACTCCAATTTATCCATTCTCTCCTACCCATCTCCCCAGCAATCTCACAGAGGTAGTAGCAGCCATATAAGAGGCCAGTAGGAATCAACTCAGAGAGGGAAAAGCTTTCTCTCAGAGATGTGATTCCGTGAATGTGGGAGTGACACTAACTGCTTTGTTTCCTTTTACTTTTCCCTCCAATTTTTGGACATGAATGTTGTACCAAAAATGAAGGGACATGGAAGAGTGTCCAAAAACTCAAGTTTATACTCAGGTGGCCAGAAAGGGGATCTACTGGGGACAGCAAAATCTGGAAGGGATGATGAAGATGGAAGAACTCCTGAAAGCAATCCAATAAAATTATTTTTATGAACCTCAAGGTTTAACCCTGAGCTGCATGTATATATATTAGATCTTAACAGGGACCAAATATTTTGAGAACTGTTAATTAATAGGTCACAATCTACTGGGTGACACAAAAAGATAATAAAAAGAAAGAACTGTACAATGTTTTTGTAAACTGAACTGGTACTGGAACCATATAGCCATAGAAGGCAGGTGGGATCTTGAAACCCAAAAGTAAACAGATCAGTATTCTGCAAAAATAAAATTAACAACATTATGTATAGACTTTAAACTGGACTCAGAGTCTTATAATGTAATAAACGAAATGTTGAGAGTATACAAATTTGCTCATTATATGAAGAACCAGGAAAATATCAACTCACATAGGAAAAATAAATAGGCTACAAACACCAAGATGACACAGATGCTATAAATATCTAATATTTTAAACCATTTTTTTAAATGCTTAAATGAGCAAAACAAATTATCTTGAATCAAACGTTACAATAGAAGATATAAAGAAAAATCAGATGTTCAAAGGGTCGAAAATTTTAGTTAGACTGGAAGAGTAATTTCAAGAAATCTATTGCACAACATGGTGACTAGAGTTAATAACAATGTATTGTATACTTGAAAATTGCTGAAAGAGTAGATTTTAAGTGTTCTCATAATAAAAAAAGTAAGTATGTGAGGTAATGTATGCATTAAATAGTTTGATTTAGTTATTCCACAATGTATAGGTATTTCAAACATTATGTTGAACATCATATATATGTGTGTGTATGTACAACATATATATGTATTTCTACATATATTTATATAAACCATGTGTGTGTGTATGTATGTGTGTATAAACACCTAAAGTTTCCAGGTGACACAAAAGTGTAATGAAGCTAAGAATTCAGCTTTTAATAGTTCATAACTTGACTTTCACAGATACTCGATTTAAGAAGAAAGGGCCCAGCAATTTGCAAAACCTGTATTTTCTGTTTTACTCAATTAGAAAAACCATGAGAATTCTTCCTTGAACCTAAAAATTTTGTTCTTTAAATGCACAAAATATAAGCAGACATAAACACTGGCATCAAAAAATTTAAAAAAGATGAAAATTTTAAAAACTGAAAAGCTCTAAATTTAAAATTAAATATAGATCAATAGAGATTGATCAAATTGAAAAACTGAGAGAAAATAATGTGAAAGGCAAAGAAATATACATATATTTATAAGTAAATATACATATATACATAAGTTGAATTTCATTGAAATTATAAATTTTTGTGTGTCAAGGAATACTACCAAGAGAGTAAAAAGGCAATTCAAATATTAAAAGGAAATATTTGCAAGTCATAATATAATAAGAGTCCATTATACAGAATTATAGTCCATTATACAGAATTAAGAATTCTTACAGCTAAACAACAAAAAAACTATCCAATTTTTTTTGAAAAAGGCAAAGTGCTTAAATAGTTGTTTCTTCTGCAGATAATCAATAAAAATATGAAAAGATATCAATGTTAATAGCCATTAGTGAAATCTAAATCAAAACCACAATAAAGACATCACTTAATGCCCACTTGGAAGGCTATCATTGTTAAAAAGAAAAAAAAAATTTTGAGACAGAGTCTCACTGTTGCCCAGGCTAGAGTGCAATGGCATGATCATGGCTCACTGATGCTTCAACCTCCAGAGCCCAAGTGATCCTCCTATCTCAGCCTCCTACATAGCTAGGAACACAGGCATGCACCACCATGCCCAGCTAATTTTTAAAATTTTTTAGAGATGGAGTCTCCCTGTGTTGCCCAGTCTGGTCTCAGACTCCTAGGCTCAAGTGATCCTCTCACCTTGGCCTCCCAAATTTCTGGGATTACAGGCATGAGCCACTGTGCCTGGCAAAAAAGAATAAAAAAAAAGAAAATATTTATGAAGATATATAGAGAAATTGAACCATTATACATTACAGGTGGAAATGTGAAATGATGCATTTATTCTGGAAGCAGTTTGGCAACTCCTCAATAAACTAAACATAAAATTATTATATGAGCCAGCATTCGTACTACTAGATATATATTCAAAATAATTGAAAGCAGGGGAAAAAATTAAAACTGGTGCATGCATATTGACAACTATTTATTATAGTTAAAAGGTTAAAATATTCATGAATGAGTAAACGAATTGTGATATAGTGCAATGCAACCTAGAAAGTAGAATCTTTTTAACAAATCATGTTGGCAATTGGGTCATTCATATGTAAAAACAAAACAAAATGAACAAACAAATAAGCAAGCAAAAAATGTTTATCTGATCCACACACATTCAAAATAAATTAAAGCAAAATTTATCACACGTAGTTGTAAAAAACCTACAGGTTTTTAATTCAATATAAAAATCTATAGGTTTTAATTCGGATAATTCTTTATAAAGTGAGAGGTTTTAAAAAAGGAAAAATCGTGAATAACAAATAGGCTTTTGTTCATTGAAAGACCTAATGTAATAGAATCTTGGATATTGGAACTATTAGCTCTAGAAATGGACCAAATCATTAGCCTGGTGTGGTGGCACGTGCCTATAGTTCTAGCTAGTGGGAGACTTAGGTAGGAGGATTCCTTGAGTCCAAGAGTTGGGGGCAGCACCAGACCCTGTCTTAAAAGGAAAAAAAAAAAAAAAGGAGCCAAATAAACTTTTCAATTGTAAAAGAAGGGAAATCTAAAAATATAGGTGCCTGTAGAGATAAGTTACTGTTTGGTTGGTGAGAGAACTGAGTTCTTACCTGATTGATTCTGTTTTGTGGGTAAAGTAAGACATAAGTCAGCTGAGAAGTTTAAAGATTTCAGAAAAGATTTGAAATAGCTAACAAGAAAAAAGAAAAATGAGAGCTAAGTAAGAAAATATGTAAGGATTACTGAGCTTGTTTAAAAAGGCCCAGAAGATTTTCTCAATCAGGAAACAGGCTTTTGCAGTAAGAAGACAATTTCTCTTAAGGAAATATTCAGTTTTATTTTTATAATAGTAATTATTGACAACTAGTTTGTTAAAAAAATCATAATGTATCAATATAAAAAAATAGAATATTTCAGCATGTAATAATCACATATTAAGATATTTGATGTCATAATACAATATTAAAAAATAGTCCCAATACTTTCTATATGATATGATTCCAATTAAAAATGGAAAAAAATGTATGGAGGAAAAACCACATGAATACATATCAAATACTTGACAGTATTTCTCTCCATTAGGGTATAAACTCCAATGAAGGCAGAGATTTATTTTTTCCATAAAGACATGCCCATAAAGACATTTAATACAGAACTAGGCATATGCTACAAATGAATATTAGCTAAGTGACATGAATTCATTCTAAATTAATGGTACATATTTAAGGTATATAATTCCAATGAGTTTGAGGATAAGTATACACCTGTGAAACCACTACCATCATCAAGGCCATAAACATATCACCTCCAAAAGTTTCCTCACAGCCTCTTCATTATTAATATCATTATTATTGTGTGTGTGTGTCTGTGTTTGTGTGTGTGTGTTAAGAATGCTGTATTTGTCAGGGTTCTGTAAGGGGGCAGAAGGAATAAGATATATGTGTATATGAAGGGGAGTTTATTAAAGAGAATTGACTTACATGATCACAAGGTGAAGTCCCACAATAGACTATCTGCAAGCTGAGGAACAAGAAAGCCAGTCCAAGTCCCAGAACCTCACAAGTAGGGAAGCCGACAGTGCAGCTTTCACTCTGTAGCCGAAGGCCCAATAGTCCCTGGCAAACCACTGGTACAAGTCCAGGAGTCCAAAAGCTGAACTTGGAGTCTGATGTAGAGTTTGCACTTTCTCTCCCTTTCTGTGTGAGTTTTCTCCAGATGATCTGGTTTCCTCCCACATCCCAAAGATGTACACGTGAGTTGAATTATCATGTCTACATTTGTACCTGCATGAGTGAGTGTGGGTGTGTGTGTGAGTGCACCCTGTAATGAGGTGGCATCCTGTCCAGGGCTGGTTCCACTAGGAACGCAGAGCTACCTGAATGGGCTATGGCCACCCAGGACCCTTAACTGGAATAAGCAGGTTGGAAAATCAATGAATGAATGCATACAAATGCATGACAATAAACAATGCAGCATAAAAGTGCTCAGTGAGTCTGCTCTATTTCTGATTGTTTAACTTTGTGGTAATAAGAGGCGCTCCTTACAATTTTTGTTTTGCCAACATGTATCCCTTTATTTAATCCACCACCACTGCAACTGCCATTGCTTGCTGATTCACCAAAAATTTTGTACATAATTATCTTCCTTGTTTTTATTACTCTTCCTTACATAAATATATAGCTCACATTTATTTCAATGTTTAATATTAAAGTGTTTTGAGTCTTTATTTAGAAGATTGGTGATGTTTTTGTGACCACAAATATGTGCTAGCCACTTAACTCTTGTTTATATCAATTAGCCTATGGTAAAATTGGTTTTCTTCTATGTCATTTTGCTTGAAGTTGCAGTTTTTAACAACGCACTGACAGCATTAAATGAGGACTTACTATACAATACAGTATTGTTAGCTCTGGGCATTATGCAATAGTAGGTATCCAGAACTTATCTTCCATAACTGAAACTATGTAACTTTTGACTATCATCTCCCCCTTTTCCCCTCCTTCCAGCCTCTGTCAAGCAGCATTCTGCTCCCTGTCTCTATGCAACTATTTCAGATTTCACATATAAGTGAGATTATACAGTATTTATCTTTCTGTGTCTGGCTTATTTCACTATTGAAATATCTTTGAGATTAAATGAATAAATGTATCTATGTACAAGGAAATTGTTTGTATTTTTCAATTATTCTTATGTAATAATGTTTTAATAACCATGTCCAATGCACTTTTTTCTATTATAATAAACAAATATTGGTGAGTAGCAAAAAGTGCAAAGTTGAAATTTATATTTCTTGATTGTTAGAGATAACAAATGCCAAGGTTCCTAAGACATGACACTTAAAAACATAGTTTAGAAGAGAAATATTAAAAAGTTTTGATATAAACATATGGATTGGTGTGAGCTACACACTAACACTGAGAAAATTATAGTTAATGGGTCAGCAAAGCAAATGTCATTTGCAGGTATTGTTTTATTCACAGAATTAGAAAATAACTTAGACCAGGGAAACCGTTAGTTTACAAAATACAAAAATACGAAAACCATAAACTCCTCCTCTGCTTATGATGCTTACATCAAGGAACTTTGTTTCTGAACAATTTATTCAAATTTATAAATGTGAGAAAGTTATTAAATAAATTTTAGTGTTTTCTTCTATGTTTTATGTTCCAAGATATGATTACATTTAAGAATGTAGTAGTTTCACAACTCAAAATCTACGTTTCCCATTAAAAATGTACTTGGGTGATTTTTGATAATGTTTTTATTTTCTTAATAAAGTTTTATCCTTGAAAGTGCATAATTTATTTCAGACATGTTATGATATATCACCAATCTTATTTTAAAATATGCTTAAAGATTAAATAATTACTGGCCAGGCGTGGTGGCTCATGCCTGTAATCCCAGCACTTTGGGAGGCCAAGGTGGGCGGATCACGAGGTCAGGAGATCGAGACCATCCTGGCTAACACGGTGAAACCCCGTCTCTACTAAAAATACAAAAAAATTAGCTGGGCGTGGTGGCGGGCACCTGTAGTCCTAGCTACTCGGGAGGCTGAGGCAGGAGAATGGCGTGAGCCCGGGAGGCGGAGCTTGCAGAGAACCAAGATTGCGCCACTGCACTCCAGCCTGGGTGACAAAGCGAGACTCCGTCTCAAAAAAAAAAAAAAAAAAAAAAGATTAATTAATTACCTGATTAAATTGACTTTCTTTTTCAAAACTATAATATATAACTTTCTGCTCTACTAGGTGTTTTATAATTTTAAACAATTTTACTCCTTAATAATTAAGCTGCGTTATCATCTAATTTAATTTGTGCATGTAGTTTTAAATATTTTGATACAATGATGGTGGCATCATTTGCAGAGTTAAGTATATGTCACATTTTACATTATTGTAATATGTATAAAATTTACTTTAGTCTAACAAATCATTTTTATTAACTTTTTTAACCAAAAAAATCAATAGAATTTAAAAATGTTATAAATAAATTATCTTAAATAAAATTTTCATTCATAACCGAAGGAGAAAATTTTCAAAAGTCATCCATGACTTGATTCCTCTAATGGATAATGCTAAATTTAACTCAGAATTCTGAAAACTATATGAACTGTTTTAGAGCAAGATAATTTAATATATGGTATCGTAGTCCCTTTAAAAGTCTAGTAAAATCCTTGAATGTCTCTTTTCTCATTCCTTTTCCCTTACCAGCTTTACAAAATGGTTACATAGTTAAACAATACCAAGGCAGTCAAATAAGTCATTGTATTTAATTATTCATTAGATATTTATGGAACACTATTATGTGTCAGCAATGTGATAGGCATTAAGAAAAAGTCAAAGACGAGTAAGTCATGCTCTTTGCCCTTGACATGTATTCAATCTCACAGGTAAGAAAAGTACATGATGAAGAACAATCCACTGTAATGAGTACTGGAAAAAGGACAAAGGAAAAATAGTTTTAACATCAAGGGCAGCGTCTTCAGATGAGCAGGGATAAAAGCTTTGACAAAAAAATATTTATGCTTATCTATGAAGGATCACCATCTCAGTCTGAGAGAAAGGAGAAATGCAATTATGGTCAGAGGCAAAAAGAACACTGACATACGAGGAAGAAAAAGCATTCTTCAGGAAAGGTCCCTATGTATCTGAAGTGAGGTAGAGTGAAATGAGTAGTCATGATACAGATGAATATGCATGGTCTGTGACCCCTGTGTAGTTGACTCACATTATTAACCAAACCAGTGGGAGTGAAAGACAGTGTTATTAATAATTATAAGGCAGTGGCATGAACTGAGACTGCCCCAGGGGGACTGTGTCCTGTAATCACCCTGGCTAAATGTCACATAAATGGAATGTTTTAATTCTGTAGACAAGGTACAAACAGCACATTTTTACCCAAGGAAGTCATATGGCAAGGTATAATTTCAAGTAATAGAGCAAATGCCTATGATGGGGAGGAGAGTTTAGAAGCCATTTGAATTATTTAGATCTTGTATACATTGACAACAAACACACACACACACACTCACTATACCCATATACATAACACACAACTCAAAAAAAAAGAGTTGTAACCTTTTTTAATTTGCTGATCTCATCACAGTCATTCAAGTAATAAATAACTACTGTCCTAATTCTGGTGAATGTCATGAAAATAGTACTAAAATATAGGCAAGAAAATTTCTAAATTATAGGTCTATACGAGGCAGCACATGCTTATACTGACAATCTTCTCCTGAAAGTTGCTGTACTAATCTCCATTCCTAATACTAACATATTCACATTCCAGTCATTTTACATCTTGCTAGCACTGTTATCACTCACTTTATTTTTAGCCATTAAAGTTGGTGTACAGTGGTATCTCAGTGTGGTTTTAATATGTATTGCCTTAATTACTAACCATGTAAAACTTTTTCCACATAATTATATCCACTTTATATATATGTATATTTGAAAAGTATTTACTTAAATATTGGTCCAGATTTTATTTATTGTATATTCTGAATACAAGTACTTTGTTAGTATATAATTTAAAATATTACTCTCGATTTGTGACTTCCCTTTTCATTTTCTTAATGTCTCAAAAATAGTTTTAAATATCTAACAAAATGCAATCTTTTTAAATGGTTATTCTTCACATCTGATAGATCTTTGCCTACTATAACACTGAGACAGGCAGGCAGGCTGGTTGATCCCCTATTTTAAGATGATTTGGAGGAAAAGGATTAAAGCCCTTCACTCAAGCTTAAGCTTATATAACTTTCAGCCAATCAGTAACAGAAGACCCAAGAGGATATTAACTTCAAACTCCTATTTCAGGGGTTAGAAACTTCCCAAGAGCCCTGTAAACACAGATTTCCCTAAACTATAGGTAACCCTTCTTAATTTTAATGCTAAAAATCATGCCCCGGGTTGGATATTTATTCATAAAAAGCTAATGCTACATATGATGTATGAAACATGTTGAGCCATGGCACAAAAACTAGAAAAACCCCTCCTATATATGCCCTGATGCAACCCTTCCCTATAGAAAGACCCTATACAACTAACCCATACACTACCCTCGGGGAGCAGCCCATTTCCTTTATCAGTGCTGGCTCCCTTGTACACAAGCTGAATAAACTTTCCTTTGCTGCTATGTTTGGTGAGCTTCCCTGATTTCTATCTGGAGAGACTATAAGAGTCTAGGGCTGTGGTAATGTTTCCTGGCACCCCAGATGGAACACTTCTTTTAGGACCTTTTAGGGTAGTCAGTGTGACTGGCCAGAGGATGGAGGCAGCTGACAGGACATGAACAAAAGTGGCCATTCTGGACTATTGTTTTTGCATTGGTGCCTTGGTGAGTCAGGTCTGGACTCTAGGTGGGTCCCTGTTCCCTTTCTTCTTCCCTCTATCTTCCCTCTTGTTTCTCCTTTCCATATTTTCCCTTCATCTTCTCCTTGTCATCTGTTTTGACTCCTGAGTCCTGGTGTTTAGTTAATTGACTCATGGAGCCTTGGTTTCAGTTTCTGTTTGGGCAAAAGGAGTGACTCCTGTTTACCTATCTTCTGTTCTGTTTAGGTGGCTGGAGTGACTCTGGCTCATTTATCTGGTATTGAACTGGGGAATTGTCCCCTGTTCCTGTACTAGCTAAAAAGCAGCTGGCAACCGGAAGTTGACCTTTTTTCTCCAACTTCGAAACCTCTTAGTAGTTACGTCAACTTTTGTCTTCTTTGTGGGGTCTATAAGTTTGCAATTTCTTTTGTCATTTGTCTAAGCAAAAATGTGTTTCCTCACTGTTCCTTGTTGCATGTGTGACATGACTTTTCACGATTCCCAGGAGAAGGAATTACTCACTAGGACAAATCACCACTTTCCTCTTTTTGTTTTTCTGGTCCATCACCTCATCCCTTGTTATAGAGTCTGTCAACGAATGTGGAGTAAGGGTAAGTTCTACTTGGAGCTGGTACAAAATATGTAGTCTATTAGATTTTGAGGGTTGTCATCCAAAATTCAAGAGCTAGAGGCTCTCAAGCCCCCTCACTCAGATCCCCTTCCCTCATCCTCCCTGTCTTGTTTGGCCCTCATTAAGAAATTGAGGTGCTGGCTGAATGAGACCAGGAGGAGTAGTACAACTGTAATAATTGTAAGAACTGGGGGCCCCACCCCTTGCCAGGCCCCTTGATTATAGGACGTGAGCTATATTATGGAAAACACTACAAATGTTCCAAAAGATTCCCCCATATAATGCATCCTCAGTAATTGGGGTCAATTTAATTTGGATAATCTAAAAAAGAAGCTGATGGTTCTCTGTCATGTTGCTTGGCCTCAGCATCCCCTGTTGAAGCAAGAGAAATTGACCTAATAATGGATCTTTGTGTATTATACTATTTTACAATAAGATTTGTATTGCAGAAATCCTAATAAATGGATTGAAATGCTATATGTGCTGGCCTTTATGAAATTATACCAGGATCCCAGCTCTGAGACATTTACAGAGCCTGTGTGGCATCTCTTAAACAACAATTGAAAGAGGAGTCAATGTCTGCCTTAGACATTGACCCTCTAGATCCTATCTTCGTGATGCCTCTCCAGGGGCGGTCAGGAACAGCACTTCCTTTGCCATGGTGGGCTCTCATTCCTCCAGCCCTGAGCCTCTTCCATATCAAGCTGGGTCAGGGAAGTGTTCCCTTTTCACTCTCAAACAACCCCTGGTGCTATCTCCAATGGGGTCGCATTTGGGTTCCAAGCTGGCACTCTCCTTTACTTCCCCACCAGCCCAGGGCTGCTTTGCCCTCTGAGAACTAATGGATGGAATTGGAGAGATGGCTTGGGGGTACCCCCTTTCAATGATAAGTCAATGCAAGGAGTAGTGTAGCTGGTTGTTGGAAAATCCAGATATGTTTAGAATTGAATTTATTTAAGTTGGGTGTAACCTTTTCCTTGACTTGCCACAATGTTGCAGTAGTTCTGAACCATTTTTGTATTCCTAATGAGAAGGCTCAGATCTTGAGAAAGGCCAGAGAACATGCAGATGAGATTACTAGATCTGATCCTGGCCATGTCATTTACCAGGCATCTGATGAAGTGGTCCCAAAACAAAACCCCCAATGGGTTTATGAGGATAGAAGAAACCAGTCAAGAATAGGTCATTTTCTCAATTGCATATCAGAGGGAATGAGAAGGTACCAAAAAAAGTGACTAAATTATGGCAAAGTGAACAAAATTACTCAGAAAAGGAATGAAAATCTGCCTATGTATTTTAATAGGCTCTTTGACCTTTCAGAAAGTATATTTATATATACGTAAAGCCTGATGAGGGTCAAACACTTCTGGCCCAGATATAACCCAAGCTGTGCCAGATATTTGGAGAAAGCTTCAGAAACTTAAAACTAACCCCCAGAACACAAAGGCAACATTAGTAGCAGAGGCCTTTGTGGTTTTTAACAATCATGAGTGGGACAACAAATAAAAGAAAGATGAAAGAATTAAAAAGAAGGCACAAATTCTGGCTGCCATAATTACAAGTCTGCCTTGAGGTGACCCTAGGCAACAGAAATACACCCAAACAGGGGCAACCAGACCTCCACCAGCTGCGATAGGACTGGGTGCAAACAATGTGCTTACTGTAAGAAGAAGGAGCACTGGAAAAGGGACTCCCCATCCCATCCAGGGAAGCTGAGAGAGAATGAAACTCCTCAACCCACTCCTCTTATTGCTAGATTCTTGGATGAGAAGGCTACCCCCTCCTCCTGAGGGGGCCAAACTGCTTATCTGGCTGCAATCCTGAAGAGTTTCATTGCCATCACCACTGAGGAGCCTTGGGTCAACATTGAGGTTACAGGCAGAAAAATCTGGATTCTTATTGGATGCCAGGGCCACAGGCTATGTCCTGACCCAACCTATGGGACAACTCCAATGCCAGCTGAAGTGATTGGAATGGAGGGTTCACCTTTCCTTTAACTTGTGAAATTGGATCTAAGGCAATTACTCATTCCTCCCTGAATGTCCCTGAGTGTTCTCTTCCTTTAATAGGTCATGATTTATTATCCAAGGTTGGAGCCTCAGTTTCCCTCCAGGGGAATCTCTTACAAGTCTCAGTCCCCCCTTGAGAAGGAGATCCATGTACTGGCCCTTTTGGTTACCCAAGATCAGAAGTTGCCCCCATCCTGGAAGACACAGTGGCTTGAGTGGCAAAGTTCATATGGAATAACAGTACTCTGGGACAAGCCATCAATGGAGAGCCTATTAACATAAAGCATTAGCCAGGCCTTCCCTACCCATGCAAGCACCAATACCCTTTGAGACCAGAAGCCCTACAGAAGATATGGCCCCTCCTGGAAAAATTTCTATTGTACAGGCTGACTCAGACTTGCCAGCCTTCTTGTAAAACTCCAATCCTGCCTGTGAAAAAAACACATGAGGAGTAGCACTTAGTTCAAGACCTTAGGGCAGTGAATGACTCAGTTTATTCTCATTTATCCTATGGTCCCTAATCCATACACTATCCTCTCCCAAATCCCTGGGTACACTTAGTTCTACACTGTGCTAGATCTAAAAGATGCTTTCTTTTGTATACCACTGCTTCCTAACTCCACCTACATGTTTGTCCTTTAATGGAAGGATCCAGAGATCCAGGAATCTTCACAGTATACCCGGATAGTGCTACTCTATGGGTTTCTGGATAGCCCCCACTCTTTGGGTGAGACTTGGCAAAAGACCTCGAGAACTTAAACTTACAAGTGGAAATTTGCTGCAATACATGGACAGTTTGCTTATTGCTAATGAGGACTTCCATAGTTCTCAAGAAAATACCACTAAAGCTTTAAATTTCTTGGCTGAATGGGGCCATAATGTCATCTCCTCAAAGGCCCAGATTTCCCAGACACAGGTTTAATACTTAGGATTAATTCTTACCCAGGGAGCCAGGATGCTTGTCCCAGACCTAAAGCAGGCCATTGCTTCACTACCACATGGTACTAGAAGAGAGCTAAGGGGATTTCTGGGAATGGACAGGTTCTGCCATATTTAGATTATAAACTTTGTCTTCATAGTCAACCCCCTTTATACGTCATTCAAGGATGGAGAAAGAGAAAGATTCTGCTGGGACAAGGTCTGACAGCAAGCATATGAAAACCTAAAATCTGTGTTATGGTAGGCCCTGTCTTGGGACTCACAGATTTGTGGAAGCTTTTCTTCTTCATTGTACAAGGGAGGTCTGAGCAAGCCCTGGGAATCCTAATTTAGAAGTTAGGGCCTATCCAAATGCCAGAGGCTTACTTTTCAAAGCAATTGAATTCAGTAGCCCCTAGGTAGCCCCACTGCCACACGGCAGTGGCAGGCCACCAGCCGCTTGGTCAGAGAGGTCTCCAAACTCACACTAGTTCATCCCCTTAAAGTTTACTCTCCTCATCCAGTCTGGAATATCTTTTATCACCCAGATCACCAATGTGCTGTCTATCACTCTTGGCATTTATATACAAATTTCACTTGGCTTGGCTTCCTCAGTCCTCTGGGAAGGTTGACAATGAATCAAACACTTAAAAGAATCTTGGTTAAATTATGCCAAGAAGCCCAGGAATCATGGATTAAGCTTTTCCCTATTGCTTTACTAAGCATTAAGAGCTGCCTCAAGGGAAACTTAAAGCTCACCCCTTTGAAATAACCTGTGGGCAGCTTATTCTCAAAACAAGCTCTCTATTAGATGAAAACTTAAATCAAGCTCTAAAATACATCATTAATTTGGGACAAGTTCAGCAGGCAATCATCCAATATGATAATAAAATATTGCCTCAGCCAGGTAAGGGAGTTTCAGATCATTTCCCTGTTAGCCCAGGTTCACAGGTCCTACTCAAGACATGGTAAAAAGAAAGTCCAGAGGATCAGTTAACTGAAAAATGGAAGGGTCCTTACCAGGTTGTCTTGGCCACTTTAAAATCCATAAAGTTGGAAGAACTTCACAGTTGAGTCCACCTCTCTAGAATAAAAACGTTTGCATCTCCCAATTAATAGGCCTGCTCAGAGGAAACAGCTTACTCCTGTGGAAGACCTCAAGCACATAGTCAAGACACTGCCTCCAGGAGATAGCAATAAAGCTAAGTAACACCCTTATATAATTGATGGATACATGTGTACTCACTCTTCATTTGCTGTTAATTATTACTGTTTTCTAGGCTGGGCATGTGTCTCACACTTGCGATCCCGGCACTTTTGGAGGCCAAGGTAGATGGGTCACTTGAGGTCAGGAGTTCAAGACCAGCCTGGCCAACATGCTGAAACTCCATCTGTACCAAAAAAAAAAAATCCAGGCATGGCGGTGCCAGCCTGTAGTCCCAGCTGCTTGGGAGGCTGAGGCACAAGAATCCCTTGAACCCGGGAGGCAGAGGTTGCGGTGAGCCGAGATCGCACCACTGTACTCCAGCCTGGGCAACAGACTGATAACGCTGTTTCAAAAACAAACAAAAATTATCAGTATGTTCTTACTAATCTATTGATTGTATTATCCTGCTCCCTATTGGCTAAAATCAAGTCACCCTGCTGGTGCGTAGTTATTAAGCCAACTTGTATCCTCCCTTGAATATTAATTATGCTCCTATTGTGCACTCTTCTTCCTATATATTACTGTACCCTCTTCATTTTAGTCTAGGCACAGGGTCTCTGGAGTTGCAAAATCCTGGTCAACTTCTCCAACATCTCAGTAAAGGAGAATTCATTTCTAACTGCTGGATCTGCCACCAGCACCATCAGCTCTCTTCAGGGGTTCTTTTCATGGCCCCTTTAATCCCATCTACCCTTAACCTGACCATACATTGTTTAAATAGAGGCCAGCGGTCTAAACCCAATCCTTTAACTTTCAGACTGCCTCCTACTCATCAAGTTTCTTTCTTTAATCTTACCCCATGTAAAAACTATTCTGTTGCTTTAGGAAATGAGGAATTAAACTTCACCTGAGCAAGGTGGATTCCTTGCAATTTTCCTTCTTGTTACAACTTTACTTGGCACCCCACCTCTAACTTAAATACCTGTACATATAACTTAACTCACTGTGCCCTGTAGAATTACTAGGGATATATGTGCCCAAGCTTGCTAGCAAAACCTTCTCTAATTATTTAAGGGTGTGTGAATACTGGCAGGGTAACATCCCACCACTTTGGAAATATAGCTTCACACTGTCCAAAGGGTTCACAGCAAATTACAAGCTCAGCTATGGGAGCAGATCTACCTTGCTCCAGGATACCTCAAAGTTCATCCATGACCACCTAGGACAGGAAAACATGGAGCAATATGCAAACAATTATCAGGAGCATTGCTTGCTATCCCCCAACTGCACAATTCATAACCTGAATCTCATAATTCTCAATCACACTCAGGAGGGCATTCACATCTGTGCCACTCCAAGAATTGTTTCTCTTTGTGGCAATGCTCATAACTGCCTCCTGTGGCCCACTGCCCACTCTCCTTATACTTTTATTCTGCTGGAGCAAGCCTATTCTTGCATAGACAATGTATAATTAATAAGTGAGTCATCCTTGAGAATGATAGGGTTAAATGGAATAACCATCCATAACTCTACCGCTCAACATGAGGCCCCTATTCTAGCAAGGCAAGGGCTTAGCATGGTCATAGCAGGAAGAGGCCTATTTGCCTAGCGGGCCCTTGGAGAAGTTTCACCTACCCTAAGGTCACCTTACACAATCTGACACAACAGATTGGTCATATAGTGAACCAGACTGTAGAGGCTCTAGGAGATCTAAAGACCTCTCTTAATTCTCTTGCTTATGTGTTGTTGGATAACTCCTTGGTTCTAGACTATGTACTGGCAGAACAAGAAGGTATATGCACAGTCACCAACACTTCCTGCTGTACTTAGATGAATACCACAGGGCAAGTAGAAGTTAATATCCAAGCATTCTATAATCAGGAAACGTGTCTACACTCTTTTGTTAAAAAGGATTTAACAGCTGACTCTATATGGGATGCTATAAAATCAACCTTACCCTATATAACTTGGTTTCTTCTTTCATAGGACTCTCATCGGCTATCCTCGTCTTAAATTTTTGGCTCTGTTTGTTTAATCTACTGGTAAAAGATGTGTCTTCTAGACTAGACCAATATCATGTCAAGTTAATGGTCGTTAAGTTTTTGAGCCTGTTCCAGAGACCACCAGCCCGGAGCAATATTGGCCCCTTCACCAAGCTGGGAGAGACGTCTACTCCTGCAAACAGATGAGGGAACTACTCCCATGCTTAATAAGAAATAGCTTCAGAAGAAGAAATCTTTACCCAGGACCCCTTAAAAATAAGGAGTATACAGTCTCTCAAGGGAGAATGAGACAGCAAGCTAATTGACTCCCTATTTTAAGATGGTCTAGAAGAAAAGGACAAAAGCTCTTTACTCAAGCTTGAGCTTATACAACTCTCAGCCAATCACTAGCAAAAGACCCAAAAAGCTATTAACCACAAGCTCCTATTTCACGGGGCTAGGGACTTCCCTGGAAACTTTACATAGACTTAAACTCTAACCTATAGTTACCCCTTCCTCATTTTAATGCTAAAAATCATGCCCAGAGGTGGATATTTAAAATACGAATGCTACATATCGATGTATAAAGACACATCGTGACCCATCATGCAAGCACTAGAAAAACCCTTCCTATACATGCTCTGATATAACCCTTCCCTACAATAAGACCCTACAAAATTAACCCACTCTACTCTGGGGAGCAGCTACTTCCTCTTCCTTGCTTGTTGCTGGTTCCCTGGTGTATAAGCTGAATAAACTTATGTTTGGTATTGTCTCCTGATTTCTATCCTGGGAAATTGCAAGCACCC